>NC_000009.12:99887218-100038733 GCF_000001405.40 Homo sapiens | reverse complement strand
TGGGTCTTGTTTTTTTTTAAATCCATTACACCAGTCTGTGTCTTTTGATTGAAGAGTTTAGTTCATTTATATTCAGTGTTATTATTGATAAGTAAAGGCATACGCCTTCCATTTTGTTATTTCTTTTCTCATTGTTTTGTGGTCTTCTCTTCCTTCTTTCCTTCCTTGCTGTCTTCCTTTTAGTGAAGGTGATTTTCTCTGGTGATATGATTTCATTTCTTTTTATTTTTTATTTATCAGTTGTATGTTTGATTTGAGGTTACCATGTGGCTTCCAGATACTATCGTATAACTCATTATTTTAAGCTGATAACACTGCATAAACAAATGAACAAGCAAAAAGAGAACTAATAAAAACTGTACACTTTAACGTCATCTCCCTGCTTTTTAACTTTTTGTTGTTTCTGTTTATATCTCTGTGTACTTTTTGTCTTGAAAAGTTGTTGGGGTTATTATTTTTTGATTGGTCCCTAATTTAGTCTTTTTACTTAAAAGTAGTTGACACACCGCAATTAGTGTTATAATATTTTCTGTTTGTCTGTGTACTTTCTATTTTCTGTGACTTTAGTACGTTCAGATGATTTCTTATTATTAACGTCTTTTTCTTTCTCATTAATATACTCACGTTAACGTTTCTTGTAGGACACATCTGATGTTGATGAAATCCCTCAGGTTTTGTTTGTGTGGGAAAGTCTTTATTTCTCTTTCATATTTGAAGGATGTTTTTGCCACTATAATAATAGTGGGATGTTATCCCACTATTCTGGGATAAAAGTCTTTTTCCTTCAGCAGTTTGAATATATCATGCTACCCTCTTCTGGCACGTAAGGTTTCCACTGAAAAGTCTGCTGCCAGACCTATTGGAGTTCCATTTTATGTTATTTCTTTCTTTTCTCTTGCTGCTGGTTATTCAGGCCAAAGGGCTCTTCAGTAAGCAGGTGATGAATCCTGTCGAGTGGGTCCTTCTTTTCAAAGCAGCAGGTTCCCTTCCAGCCCAGGATGTATCTAGAAATGTCATCCAGGAGCTAGGGCCTGGAAAGGGTGCTTCACGACTGTCTGGTGCCCTGTCTTGCTGTGACTGAGCTGGTATCCCAGATGCGAGACAAAGTCCTCAACATTCTTCCCTCTCCTCTCCTTGAGCAGAAGGAAGGGGTCTCTTTTGGAGTGGTGAGCTATGCAGTCTGGGGTTAACGGAGGGGTGATGCCAGCAGCCCCTTAAGCCATCCTGGTTGGTGTCTCAGTAGGTCATATATCTGCCCGCCATGTCCATTGGCTCTGAGTCCAGTTCAGCCCTAAGACTTGCCAAGAAGTTGCAGTTCTTGTGGCCTACACTGCCTTTCAAGTTTATTTAGGGGCCCAGAGCACTGTGGCACAAGGTGGTAATGTTTGCCAGAACTCAAGTTCTGACTGCTGAGATGGGTGATTTTCCTCTGGCTTGGGCTAGTTTAAATACTCCCTCCATGTGTGGGCGTCAGCTGAGTTCTGTTCAATTTTGCTTTCTGCTATAACAGGGAAGCCCTGAGTTCAAGGCAATGTCTCACAATTGCTGTGCTCTCCTTCTCCCAATCACTGTTTATTGTACTGTGCAGCTGCTGCCAGGGGATGAGTGAGGGGTGGTGTTGGTGATTCA
This sequence comes from Homo sapiens, assembly GCF_000001405.40. Lineage (NCBI taxonomy): Eukaryota > Metazoa > Chordata > Mammalia > Primates > Hominidae > Homo > Homo sapiens. Next base: position 100,037,104 of record NC_000009.12, on the reverse strand, counting down.
AGACAGTTTTTTCTACCTTCTCACTGCCTGTTTCAGTGAAACGAAGTTAAAACTAGGTAGTGTGAGTGTTCACCTGATTTTTGGTTCTTATGAAGGTGCTTGTTTTGTGTAGATAGTTGTTAAATTGGTGTCTTTGCAGGAGGGACAATTGGTGGAGCTTTCTGTTTCACCATCTTGCTCCGCCTCTCTCTAGAGGTAATTTTTTTTAATCTGTTAAGCAATCTCTCCCTATCCTCCCCTCCCCACTACCCCTCCCACCCTCTAATAACCACAGTTCTACTCTCTACTTATATGAGCTCAACTCTCTTAGCTCCGACATATGAATGAGAACATGCAGTATTTATTTTTCTGTGCCTGGCTTATTTCACTTAACATAATGTCCTCTAGTTCCATTTATGTTGCCACAAATGACAGGATTTCATCCTTTTTTGTTCATTTTCAACTTTTATTTTAGAATCGGGGGTACATGGGGGTATATGTGCAGGATTATTACAGTAAGGCATATTGCGGTGTTTTGAGATTTGGGGTATAACTGCACCTGTCAACCTGCTGTGAGCAGAGTACCCAATAGGTAGCTTTTTAGTCCTTGCCCCACTTGCTTTTGCCTCTCTCTAGTAGTCCACAGTGTCTATTGTTCTCATCTTTATGTCCATGTATACCTAATGTTTTGCTCCCATTTAAAAGTGAGAACATGCAGTATTTTGTTTTCTGTTTCTGTGTTAGTTCACTTAGGATAATGGCCTCCAGCTGCATCCAGGTTGCTGCAAAGGACATGATTTCATTCTTATATATGTGGCTGCATAGTGTACCATGGCATATATGTACCACATTTTCTTTTTCAGTCTGCCATTGATGGACACCTGCAGAGGAAATGATTTTGTTGATTTTTATGGCTGCATAGTAATCAGTTGTGTATATGTACCACATTTTCTTTATCCAGTCCACTGTTGATGGATACCTAGGTTGGTTCTGTGGTTTTGCTATTGTGAATAGTGCTGCGAGGAACATATGCATGCATGTGTCCTTTTGGTAGGACAATTTATTTTCCTTTGGGTATATCCCCAGTAATGGGATTGCTGGGTTGAATGGCAGTTCAACTCTTAGTTCTTTGTGAAATCTCCACACTGCTCTCCACAGTTGGAGTAGTTTACTTTCCCATCAACAGTTGTTTAAGTGCCTCATTTTCTCTTCAGCCTTGCCATCATCTGTTCTTTTTTGACTTTTTAACAAAAGCTATTCTGACTGGCATGGGGTGGTATCTCATTGTGGTTTTGATTTGCATTTCTTTGATGATTAGCGATAATAAGCATTTTTTCATATGTTTGTTGGCTGCTTGTATGTCGTCTTTTGAAAAGTGTCTGTTCACATCCTTTGTCCACTTTTTGTTTTTTTATTTACTTTTTGTTTTTATTTTTATTCTTATTTTTTTAAGACAGAGTTTCGGTCTTGTTGCCCAGGCTGGAGTGCAATGGCACAATCCTGGCTCACTGCAGCCTCTGCCTACCGGGTTCAAGCAATTCTCCTGCCTCAGCCTCCTAAATAGCTGGGATTACAGGCACATGCCACCATGCCGGGCTAATTTTGTATTTTTAGTAGAGATGGCGTTTCACCATGTTGCCTAGGCTGGTCTTGAACACCTGACCTCAGGTGATCCATCCACCTTGGCCTCCCAAAGTGCTGGGATTACAGGCCTTTGCCTACTTTTTAATGGGGTTATTCGTGTTTTGTTTATTGATTTAATAAGTTCCTTATAGATTCTAGATATTAGACCTTTGTTGAGTGCATCATTTGCAAATATTTTCTTCCATACTGTAGGTTGTTTGTTTGCTTCCTTGGTAGTTTTTCTTGCAGTTCAGAGGCTCTTTAGTTTAATTAGGTCCCACTTACCAGTTTTTGTTTTTGTTGCAGTTGCTTTTGGTGTCTTAGCCATAAATTTTTTGCCAAGGCCAATGATGAGAAAGGTATTTCCTAGGTTTTCTTATAGGATTTTTATAGTCTGATGTCATATGTTTAAGTCTTTAATCTGTCTTGACTTAAGTTTTGTATATGATGATATGTAGAGGTCCAGTTTCATTCTTTTGCATATGGATAGCCAGTTATTCCAATACCATTTATTGAATAGAGAGTCTTCTTCCATTGCTTATTTTTGTTGATTTTGTAGAAGATCAGGTGGTTGTAAGTGTGTGGCTTTATTTCTGAGTTCTCTATTCTGTTCCTTTATTCTATGTGTCTGTTTTTGTACTGGTATCTTACTGTTCTGGTTATCATAGCCTTGTAGTATAGTTTGAAGTCCAGTAATACGATGCCTCTGGCTTTGTTCTTTTTGCCTAGGTTTGCTTTGGCTATTGAGGCTCTTTTTTGGTTCTGTATGAATTTACAATAGTTTTTTCTAATTCTGTGGAAATGAATTGATATCGTTAAAATGGCCATACTGCCCAAAACAATTTACAGATTAATACTATTCCTGTCTTTCTCTTTTTGACTGGCTGGGTTGTATTTCTTTTTCTTTTTCTTTGTTTTTTGTTTTTTTGTTTTTTTTAATTAAGTGAAAGCAAATTAATTAGGAAAGCAAGGGAATAAAAGAAATGGCTGCTGCATAGGCAGAGCAGCCGCAAGGGCTGCTGGCTGGCTATTTTTATGGTTACTTCTTTATTATATGCTAAACAAAGGGTGGATTATTTGAGTTTTCTAGGAAAGTGGTGGGCAATTCCTGGAACTTCCTGCCTTTTTTAGATCATGTAAGGTAACTTCCTGACATTGCCGTGTCATTTGTAAACTGTCATGGTGCTGCTGGGAGTGTTTTGTTTTTTAGCATGATAATGCATTATATTAATAATTATCATAATGAGCACTGAGGATGACCAGAGTTCACTTTCATTGTCATCTTGGTTTTGTTGGGTTTTGGCCAGCTTCTTTACTGCAACCTGCAAGGTTTTTGTGATCTGTATCTTGTGCCAACCTCCTATCTCATCCTATGACTTAGAATGCCTAACCTCCTGAGAATGCAGCTCAGTAAGCCTCAGCCTTATTTTACCCAACCCCTATGCAACATGGAGTCACTCTGGTTTGAACGCCTCTGACAGAGTTGACCTGGTTGAGTGGCCTCTGGCATATTTTCCCTCTCTCTTTTACAAGGGAACCCTTAATCCTAAGGATTGTAGAGGGACAAAGATCCATATTCTGTAACTTGAGCTTGAATAGGGGCAATGATATTCCTGCCTACCTATTAGAGTCTCTTGTATTCAGGGTAGAGAGGAGCTGAGTCAGAAAGCATTGATATGTCGAGGGCCATTCATAACTCTGAGTTCTAATAAAAGTTGATATCCATCCCTCTTGCTTCTGAGTACCAGCCAGAGATGACTGGTTGATTCACAGGAATAAGCAGAGTCAGTCTCAATAGCAGAAAAAACCTCAAAAACAACTGATGAGACAGGTGTACCATAGTTCTCTCTCCAGTCCTCATTTTTACTAAAGATAAATCATGGTAAGACTGCTTTGCTTTATTATACTTGGCCTAGTTATTTGTATAAAGTGCAGCAAGAATAATTATTTTTCACACAGGCTTTCTTAATTGGCTTTAATGGGATTTTCTTTCATAGAAGGAATCTCAGGTTAGACTTTTTTAAAAAGTTGAGCCCAGCCATGGGTTTGTATCCTCAAATACCTGTGAGTTTAGTAAATTCCTTTCCTCTTGAGGTCCCAAGATAACTTGGGGCTCCTTGGCCTATCAGAAAGTGACATTCTTTACTTACCACAGGTCAGAAACCATGTACAGGGACTGTGTAGACAAGGTGTAAGGCCAGTTTTCTCAAGGGGCTTTTATTGGCTCTACAAGTCAACGTTGATTCCTTAAAGGAAAGCACACCATTCTAGTCAAAGCCTTGGTAAAATAACAAATTTTTCCAATTGTGTCATGATGCAAAAGAAAACATTCTTATTGCACTTATGCAAATAATTGTATTGCCATAAGTTAAGAATACTTACAAATAGTTTCCAAATTCTGGAGAAATCAGGTAGAAACAAATATGCTCCAAATTTTGTTCACAGGAGTATACTTTACTTAATTATTAAAAGCTGTTAATAGCTCAAAAGAAGAGTTTCCTTGATTCTTAAAAACTAAACAAAGGATCAGCAACATTTTAAGCAAAAAGTCAAAAAAGATTATTTTTGTCCTCTATTAGTTAGGTCCATGTGGTTAATACCTGTCTTGCTTAATAGTCACGAACATTTCAGCTCTCCATGAGTCCTGAATGCTTTTTCCTCTAAAGTCAGAATCTCCAAAGATCAGAAACCTGCATTCAAGAATACCTGTTAGAGTTCTAGAGTTGATTATAAAACCACCTTCTGAAGAGGATCAATACAAGACAACATTGTCTGTGGATGCCAAAAAGTCTTAGGACAGCCACTATTAAAGCCACAATTGACAAGTTAATTTTGCTTACTTCTGTGCCATACAACAATTTTACATATCAATTATAATTATTAATAACATAGACTAAGTCATTTCAGAGTAATAGGAGTTTCTTATAATTTTAGAACACATACCAGTAACATATTTATACAAATACGGCCCAAAGAAAGCCAAATACCATCTCATATTTGGCAATGCTTCTTGTATGATTTTCATACCAAATAAGCCAAATATGTCATTTTTTGACTTTAGGGGACCTAATATCTAAAAGATTAATTAGGTCAGAAAAGACATAATTTATAACTTGATTTAAGCACTTATTAGTTTTAAGCCAATAGATGCTTTTTTTACACTACACACAACATATATAAATACACAGAAGATCTAGTAGTTGTAAGATTTTTTACTTCCCAGTTTTTTAATTGGATTACTGGCTTCAGGGTGGAGCCCTGGAGGAACAGGGCCAGGGAAGTGTGCAGTTTCTACAGCCTAATAAGCGGGCATAGCTGGAATGCAAAATAGATCCCCCAAATTAAGGGTCCCATTTTTATACCAGATCCTGGATCCCAAAAAAAAGAGGGAGCCAGCCCATCTCCCATGGGAGTCTTATCTCTCAGTGGGGTGTGAGGACATTTTCATACCTTCTAGGGGGCCAAGAGCATGCTTCTCTAATCCAAAAGTGCAGAGTCAAGTATTAAACTATAACTGCCATTAAGCATGCCCAAAAATACATTTCTTAAGTAGTTCTCTCATAATTCAAAGTAATTTCTGATACCTTCCAAAGTCAAAAACGTCAGATAACATAATGCAAAACAGAACAGAACCTTAGATTTTGAGAGGAATCTTAGCTATTTCTAATTTCTAGGGTTTCATGAGGAAAACAGAGGTTTTTCCCAAAACAGGGTCTGTCGTGCCTCCTCTGTTTTTCCCAGGGAATCCCAGGCTGTTAGAGCTTGAATATCTGCTTTTAATTAAGCTAACTTTTAACCATAGCACTCTTAAAAAAAAACAGTTCTTTTAAATTTCTTATTATCTGACTTTAGCCAGGCCAAATGACCAGTATTTCTGGGTTTTGAACTTTACCAAAGGTAACCTCCAAGGTGCTCAGAGAAAGGAAAATTCAAGATGGTTCGTGGAGAGGGAGGGAGTCAACAAATGATAAAGGTCTTACAGATATCAAACCAGAAAGGACTTATTCCCTAAGCCAGGAATTGAACCCTCAACCTGTGCCACCATTGTGAAAAGACAAAGCCTTAGCTACTAAGCTACAGCATTGGACAGTTTCTATTGCTCTTCCCTGAAGGAGGCTAGAGCAGTCAGTTTTGAGCTTGCAAAGGCTTTTAATGGCTTAAGATAATTTTTTGAGCAAACTATGACATGGACCCCAAAACTCCTGTTCCCTGGATGGCAGAGACCAACAGAAAGTACTGACCCATTCTTACAAGGTCAAGCTCCCAAAGACATAGAACAAAATGAGAAGGAAACTTCAGCATTTTTTTTTTTCAGGTACTTGCAGCAAAGTCTGTAATTAACCAGTTTTCCAGGCTGGCTTGAACCTGGGCTTATGGGATCCTAAGCCCGTGTTCTGTCCATAAAGGTATTCTTCTTTATGACAGAGCAATGTAGAAAGACAAAGTTGCAGCACAAAGTACACCAGATTCGCTACAGTAGCCACTCTGCTTAGTATGCAATATGGAATTGGCAAGGTTCAAACTTGCCCTCAGATGGGCCCTGTCATCTTTAATCCAACCTCTGCTGTCATGTGGTCTCAGGGCACAGAGGATAGGAAAGGGAGAAAAGCATTCATTGCCTGCAGCAAGGTGGGGAAGGCAAGGTGCTCAGGGAGGCCAGAGAAAGACCTACTTATTGCAGTGACACTCAATCAAAAGTTCAGGCGGTCACTTGTCAGTTGCAAAGGGGTTTTCCAACAGTCTCACCAGCTTTCAAGTTTCCCCTTTTGGGGAGAAAAAAGGCTCTCCATGTCCAGTGATCCTGTACATGCCTAATCCTGTCACCCACAGCTGTCAGCGAAGAGTACAAGGCAGATTAATCCAAAGAGAATAGTGGTTAACTCCCCATAATGCCAAATCCATTCATAGCTGAGAGGAACTTTACTGAGTGGGGCCTCTAACTCCCTAAATTTTAGGAAGTATTCTAACCATCCTAAGCTGGGCCTTGAACCCAAGTTCCACCAGATGTCCTTGCCTTTTATTAAGAGGGGCCTTTAACCCACTCTTTTTTAGGAGACACTCTAACTCCCCTCAGTTGGGCCTCTAACCCAATCCCATCCTTTACCCGGATACCCCACTACTTACCCAGAGTTGGCCATTTGGTGCTGCAGTCTGTTTCCTTTTGGGTTGGGGGTTTCCTCAATATCGTCCCTCCATGGTTCACCAGGAGGATATTACCAGAAAGGAGTCCTGATCCAGACCCCTAGAGAAGATTCTTGGATCTCAAGAAAGAATTTGATGTGAATCCATAGAGTAAAGTGAAAGCAAGTTTATTAGGAAAGTAAGGGAATAAAAGAATGGCTACTCCATAGGCAGAGCAGCCCTGAGTTGTATTTTATTGTGTATATGTACCACATTTTCTTTTTTCTTTGTTTTTGAGACTGAGTCTCGCTCTGTTGCCAGGCTGGAGTGCAGTGGCATGATCTCGGCTTACTGCAACCTCTGCCTTCTGGGTTCAAGTGATTCTCCCGCCTCAGCCTCCTGAGTAGCTGGAACTACAGGTGCGCACCACCACGCCCGGCTAATTTTTGTATTTTTAGTAGAGACGGGGTTTCGCCATGTTGGCCAGGATGGTCTCAATCTCTTGACCTCATGATCTGCCCGCCTCGGTCTCCCAAAGTGCTGGGATTACAGGCATGAGCCACCGCACCCGGCCCCACATTTTCTTTATCCATTCATCTGTTGATGGCCACTTAGGTTGATTTCATATTTTGACTATTGTAAATAGTGCTGCAGTAAACACGGTGGTGCAGATATGTCCTTGCTATACTGATTTCCTTTTCTTTGGATAAATACACAGTAATGGAATTGCTAGATCATGTGGTAGTTCTATTTTTAGGTTTTGAGGAACCTCCATTTTGTCTTCCATAGTGGCTGTGCTACGTTACTGTCTCATCAACAACATGTGAATGTTTCCCTTTCTCCAAATCCTCTGCAGTATTAATTATTTTCACATTTTTGTTAATAGCCATTCTAACTGGGGTGAAATGATATCTCATTGTGGTTTCGATTTGTATGTAACCACATGATTAGTGAAACTGACAATTTTTTTTCACATGCTTTTTGGCCATTTGTATGTCTTTTGAGAAATGTTTGTTGAGATGCCATGTCCTTTTTAAAATAGGATTTTGTTGTCGTTGTTGTTGCTTGTATATTCTGGATGTTAATCCCTTATCAGATGATTAGTTTACAGATATTTCCACTAATTCTCAGGTTGCCTCTTCACTCTGTTGAGTGTTTCCCTTGCCCTACAGAAGCTTTTTAGTTTGATAAAATCCCATTTGTCTATTTTTGCTTTTTTTTTTGCCTGTGCATTTAAAGCAGTATCCATAAAAATCTTTGCACAGACCAATGTGCTAAAGCATTTCCCCTATGTTTTCTTCTACTGGTTTTATAGTTTCGGGTCTTAGATTTATGTCTTTAATCCATCTTGAGTTGATTTTTGTTTATGGTGAGAGATAGGGACACTTAGAATTTTTTTATACCTATTGTGAAAACTATTTTAGACTCAGAAATAGATTTTAAAAATTCTGTCATTATTGTGTGTGCCTTAAAAGGAAAATAAATTTGTTCAAGTTATTCTGAAACTAGAGTCTGACTCTTGTGCATCATTTCTCAACTGAGTCGAGTTTTTTGTTTTTGTTTTTGTTTTTTTACACAGTATTGGCCTCCATGCCATTAAGAGTATTGGTAATGCTCTACTCTCTCTAGGAATTTCTTCCAAGCTGCTAAAACCCATTCTGCAAGTATTGATGCTATCACTTTACTATTTGACTAACCTCAGAGTTTATTTTTTCTGAATTGAAATATATCTCTGCTAGTTAAGCAACTTTTCTTCAAAGTTACCAAAATATAAGCCAAAATGTTAATAGTGGTTTTCTCCAGTGGTGGTTGGAAGTGGTTCTTGTTTTCTTCTTTGTAACTGTCTGCTTTCCAAAATTTCGAAACACACATAGACACACATGTACACATGCATGTACATATGCACACAATTAAAACATGGCCTTGCTTCAACTTGCTTCACATCTTATCTTCTGCAGTCTTATCATTTGGGGAATTCAGGAGCGTAATTCATTATTCTCCTTGGTGGTCATGCTTGCTGCCTTGAATCTAGAAAGTCCCATCAGTCAGCCCCTGGTGGGACCAGGTTCTCTGCTGACCTCCAGTGGCCTTAGGCTGTATGGCACTAAGCAAGAGGCATTCATATGCTTGCTGGTCAGTGCAGAACAGACCCACACTTGTGTTTTTAGGAAAGTACTTTGTAATTGTCCTTGATTAGGTAGCACATGCACCCATATACCTGAGTTACTCTTACCTGTCTTCCAGTGCAACTCGAACCTTACTTATTGGAAATTGAGAAGCTTTTTATAGGAACTATATATAAATATCATAGTAAGAACAAGAAAATATGAAGTGAAGACTTTATGTGCATAGAACAGAATTTGGATGAGCAGTTAAGCCTGAGTTCTGAGTGAACTTCTAGGCTTTGCTTATTAGTTTTCTGTTGAGGTATTTTGTTTTGTTTTTTGGGGATGTTTGTCTTTTTGGGGTTTTTTTGTTTGTTTTGAGGGGTGCAGTTTGGGAATGGGAAGAAGTACATAGGCAGCAGTGGTCCTTCTCCTGGAACCAGAAGAACAATAAGACTTTCCTGTTGAAATGATCTGCCTCTTTGTATTTTCTGCCATGGATAACCATTGCAGGGAGAGACGTTGCTGAAACGAGTATGAGGCAATTTCCCCATTTGGAACCCTGCTGGGTATTAGTGAGGCAGGCAGGCAGGACCCATCAAGGAAAAGTAAGTGACCATTGGAGCAAAAATATATGCTAATTTTCCAATCAGTGAGCTGTTAACCTTCTGGGATTTATAATTCCTCTGACATCCATTTTAACATTTGATCTATCCAGTTAATTTTAAAAACCCATTTATTATACCCCTTAAGTCATTTTTTGTTATATTGTCAAAGTGTCACATTCTAATTATCTTAAAATCACTTTTGGCCAAAGCTTGTAAAATAAAAAAAAAAGCATTATGTCTGAGATTACTGATCAATGTAATTTTAAGGTTTTTGCTTCTTAATAATTAAACGCCACTGCATTATGCAGCATACCTGCTGCCAGGATGTTGTTTGAGAATGAAGCAAATGAATATCTAATCCCATAATAGTTTTCAAATATTTTAAATCTTTTTCTCTCTGTAACCAGAATTTTAAAGCAACCTAAAGATTGTAATGTTTGTTAATAGACTCTTGTGATTTTTGCCACAACTATTACAGTACTAGTCTCCCTGGTTCTCTACTACTTCCAGGTGAATTTTTTGAAAGCCCAGCTCTACAGCTCAGTGGCTGCTTATCACAACACTGGATAAAATTCAAACTCCATCAGCTTAGTGCTTAAGACCCTCTAGAGTCCGTCTCTAACCTTATTTATTCTACTCCTGGTTTATGCATACTTGCTGTTAGCACACTACTTTCTCATTGCGCCCCCTAATTCATCAAGTTTAGAAAGTTGAAAGCATTATATTGTCTCCTATAGTGCATCTTGCTGTCCATTTTCATACTGATACTTAGGACACAGGTGGAAAATATATGTTTTGTATTAGACTAGTTTCTTTGCTTCTGAGTCCATCTCATATCCTCTCTGCCAGATCCTTTGGGTATTAAAAAGTCTTAGGGTATTAAAAAAGATTACTTGACTTCTTGTTGACAAAGTAGGCACCAGCTAGGCTAGTTTACCTTTATTAACATTGAATATTGGACCTAAATGAAACCTACTAGGAATATTTTACTTTCACAGGGTTTCATATTATTGAATTTTAGTTTAAAACATTTTTATTATTACTGATTTTTTGCCAGTATGAAAGACAAAATGTTATCTGGGAGTTTTAATTTGTAACTTTCTGATTACAACTGAACATATGTAATAGTTTATTGGCAATCTGTGTTTCTTTCATAAACTGATAGCTTTAACTCACTTATCTTTTTGGTAGTCTTTTTTTAGTTCATTCTTTTTATATTCTGAATATTAATCAGTTGTCTCTAGTACATGTCACAAGTACCTTTCTTCCTGTCTGTCTTAAAAATTCGTGTTTTTCTTTTAATGTCTAGATGCTTCCTAATCTTTGTGGCTTCAAAATCTGGCAAATGTCTTGGCTGCATGTGGTCTTGATACAGGGTTGCAGGTCCTTTCCAAAGTAGACGTTGTCTCCTAAGTACCAGGAGGCCATAGGAGATTTTTCGTCTTTGTGACCCAACTCCCCAGGTTTGTATATCACCCCAGCACTCAGCAGATGTCCTCTGGAGACATTTCTCTTGCCTATGCAGGTATAATTCTCAGCCCTAAATCTGCAACTGCAGGCTTAATTTCCAAAACAAATTACACAGGAAACCTATAAGAAAGAAAATGGCTAGTGATCTTTGCTTACCTTAGGAATGGTTCTTCCTTTCCTGGAATGTCAGTTCCTTTAGTCTTCATTGTTTTCATGATTTCTGGTATCTTAAAAATATGATACAAAGTTTTTTCTAGTTGTTGCAGTAGGACCAACACATTTTTGCTTCCCACTACACCCTGCTTGAAAATGGAAATCCATTTGTAGATTCCCTTTTGGATTTTCTGTGAACTCAATAAAAACACCTGCAAGTAATGACATTTCTTCCTTTACAGTCTTTTATTATTATTATTATTTTGACCAAGAACTCCAAATCAGTATTATATAGAAGTGATAGCAGGCATCTTTTTTCTTTTTTGATCTCAGCATGAAAGCTGTTAGTATATCACCATTTCAGTTGTTTGTTATATCAGCTTTTAGTATATCACAAGTCAGTTGTTTATTTAAATATCCTTTTTTTCAATTAAGGAAGTTCTCTTCCTAGTTTGCTAAGAGTGTTTAAGCATGAATGAATATAGATTTTTATCAAATGTTTTTCTGCTTTTGAGAGATAACAAAATTTGTCTCTTTCATTCTGTCAGTGTTGTGATGTACATTAATTGGTTTTCAAATATTTATCTAAACTGAAGTGCTAGACTAAATCCAGCTTTATTGTGATGTATTATCCTTTGTATGTAGTGCTAAGTTTGTTAATATTTCTATTCAAGTTTTGCATCTATATTCTTGAGTAAGATTAACAAATACTTTTTTTTTCTCATAATTTTCTTGTCAGGATTCCCGTGAAGATTACGTTGACCTCAAAAACTAGTTGGGAAGTGTTCCCTGTTTTTGTATTCTCTGGAATAGTTTGTGTAAAATTGCCATTATTGGCTCCTTAAATGTTTGGTAGAATTTACTGGTGAAGATGTGTGGGAATGGAGTTTTCTTTGTGGAAAGGCTTTGAATTAGATTTGGGTTCTTTAATAATTGTAGGATTATTTTTTGAGATGGGGTCTTTCTATGTTTCCCAGTCTAGTCTTGAACTCCTGGGCTCGAGCAAACCTCCTGCCTCAATCTTACCATAGCCGGGGCTATGGGCATGTGTCACTGTACCTGGCAATAATTTTAGGACCATTTATATCTTCTGTTTCTTCTAGTGTCAGTTTTGATTAGTTATATTTTCATGGGAATTATGTGAATCATCAAACTTATTGGAATTAACTTACTGATAATAGCTATCAGTGGAAGGAGCTTAGAAGTATATTTTTTGAAAGAGAACAACATGAGGTCATACCAGTACTTCCAATTCAAATTATAGGGTTTTTACTTAATTACTCAGTTTTATATATGTTTTCCTTATGCTGAAAATCTTGATTCTTAATGGCATTAGCATGATTACTCATGTGCTTTATCTGTAATATATGTGTATGTATTTAATTTCAAAATAACAATGACAGTATTAAATTGTTTTAAAATTTCATTTTGTTTTAATGTTAAACATTTCCATGGTTCCAAAGTCAAAACTATAAAACCAAAGTATAGTCAGGGAATTCATCCCTGACCTCTCCATTTTCTCCCATTGGTGTTTTTTTTTTGTGGGTAGAGGAGAGACAACTATATAAGCAAACATATATAGACATGTAAATATGTGTGCATGTATATACATATGTATTTATATTTCTTCCCCAAGTTTCTTCTCCCTATTTCTTACACAAAATATTTGACCTGTACACACTCTTCTGCACCTGGCTTTTTTTTTTTTTTAACTTGTCTTGAAGATTGCTCCTTAGCAGCAAACAGAGATCTTTTTTATTTCTTTATATTACAGCCTAGTACTTCATTATATGGGTACCATACTTTATTCAGCCAGTCTCCTATTGATGGACATTTAGAGAAATAGTAACTTTGTTGTTGTTGTTGTTGTTGTTGTTGTTGTTGTTGTTGTTGAGTCAGGGTTTCACTCTGTCACCCAGTCTGGAGTGCACTGGCACGATCTTGGTTCACTGCAGCCTCCTCCTCCCAGGTTCAAGAGATTCTCGTGCCTCAGCCACCAGATAGCTGGGATTACAGGCATGTGCCACCATGCCTGGTTAATTTTTGTATTTTTAGTAGAGACAAGGTCTTGCCATGTTGGCCAGGCTGGTCTCAAACTCCTGACCTCAAGTGATCCACCCGCCTCATTCTCCCAAACTTCTGGGATTACAGGCATGAGCCCCTGGGCCTGGCCAAAATAGTAACTTTTAAAAAGGCATTTTCCATTCTCAAGACTACAACACTGTAGTGTAGGCCATTAGAACTATTTGATCTAATTTTTTAAAACTTTTTGTTTATACATCATGCAAAAATTCATTTTATGGCTAGGCACAGTGGCTCACAACTGTAATCCCAGCTTTGGGAGGCTGAGGCGGGAGGATTGCTTGAGCTCAGGAGTTCAAGACTGACCTGGGCAACATAGTGAGACCTCATCTCTACAAAAAATAATTAAAAATTAAAAAAATTTAAGATTAGCCAGGCATGGTGGCACACACCTGTTGTCCCAGCTACTCTGGAGGCTGAAGTGGGAGAATTGCTTACGTCTAGGAAGTTAAGGCCGTGGTGAGCTGTGATCGTGCCACTGTACTCCAGCCTGGGTGACAGAGCAAGACCCTGTCTTCAAAAAAAAAAAAAAGAAATCAAAGTTTCTTATTTTTTTTTTTTTTATGATTTCTCAGGTTATTTATCATTGTAAGTAGGATAAGCTCAAGTCTTTGTGGCTTGTGCTTTATTACAGGTGTCTCTATTTTATTTAAAAGCCTTCTACTTGTTTATGGTACCACTCTCTCATTTCTCAATTTGTAGTACCAATTTAATCTCATTAAATCCTTGCTCAGGTAATAGGACCCATCATCTTTATAGCACCCCAAAGACATAGTCTCTCCTTGTAATTTATCAGGTTGAAAAGGGACATATAGTTGATATGTATCTATTATGCATCTGCTTCAAGGAAGTACCAGCTCCTAAAGCAGACAGATTATTGTCTATGTTAATTATGTATAAATTAAAATGTCTTCAGATTTCTGTGATTTGATGAATAAAGCATTCTTCTCAATCTCAGTATGACCAGTTGTTCCCGTTGTTTATTCATATTTGTCTTCTGTTTAAAGAATTTTAGTAATCATGATTTCTACTTTATAAATCCACATGGAATTTGCCAAAGTGCTATATAATCTTAGTTACTTCGTTTGCCAAAGTGTTATATAATCTTTTCCTCCAGCCCCCCTTCTGAGAGCTCATATTCCATTTTAACCTCTAATATATTTTTAGTATTTTTGATTGCCTATGCTAGAGAGAATAAAGTACAACCTTGACTAAACAAAATATTGTAAGTACTTTTGCCTCTTCCTGGACCATGCAAAGACTTTAGAATATTTAACATAACTTACCTCCCCTCCCCAGCTTATATGCTGCTGTCAGGTATTTTAATGTCTGTCGAACCCCATAAGGCATTATTGCTGTTTTTTGTAGTCATTATTCATGTGCCATGCTTACTGTGGCGTCTGTTGTATTATTTAATTTGATACTTAAGACAATCTTATGTGGTAGAAATGATTATCCTTATATAATAGATGAGAACTAAGGCATGGAGAGTTTATGCAGTTTACCAGTTCACATGGCCAGTAAGTCGCAAATTAGGATTTAAACCCAGTCCAGAACCTGGTCTCTTAAATAATGTAAACTCAAGTCCTGATTATTATTATTTTTTTCTCTCTCACTGAAAAACAATGACTTGAACCAAAAAGTTCTCACTAAGCAATTGTAAGATTTTTGACCATTAGGCAAACAGGCTTGCCCTGACTACATATGAGGGTAAATAATTTTTTTTCATTCTTTTAGCTGACATAGCCCAGAGATACAGGATAAGCAAATACCCAACCCTCAAATTGTTTCGTAATGGGATGATGATGAAGAGAGAATACAGGGGTCAGCGATCAGTGAAAGCATTGGCAGATTACATCAGGCAACAAAAAAGTGACCCCATTCAAGAAATTCGGGACTTAGCAGAAATCACCACTCTTGATGTAAGTTGTAACTTTTGCTAGATTAAACAAACATTCCCTGATTAATGTAAACAAATTCTAATGCAAACAAAAAATCTGGACATTCTCCTATAGTCTATTGCAGTGGATTTGACATACGTATACTTAATGAGTTGAATTTTTTTGAATTAATCTCAAGGCAAATGCTTATGTTATACTGAACTTCTGGATAAAAGATATAGCATGCAGTAAAGCTGTACTAATTTGAATTAATTGAGCACAAAGGAAAGCCTCAATTATAAAGAAATGGAAGTTAAAAGTCAAGTATATACAACCAGAGCTTCTGTATTTTTCTTGTGGAGAGCTTCAGGGTGTCTGCTCTAATTACTTTTGTATGAGCTCTTTTTATGAGTTTTAATGTCCTCTTAAATAGCCTCTTCTTAATAATAAGTTTAGCACACCCCTTTCTTTGTACACTAGGTAGTGTTTTAAAGATAACAAACAACAAAAGCAAAAACAATTGAGTTTGGGCTTTATCACAATCACCAATCATCACTGTCAGGTTTGAGATTTGACTTTACCCTACTTGCAAGCTAAGCTAACCAATTACCATTTCATGGATTCTTTTAGAAGACACAAGACTGCTGGGTCAGAGACAAAGGACTTTATTGCTCACATCACAGCAAGTAGTGTGAGCATGTTTGCATTTGTTTCCTTGCCCTCCAAATCCTATGGAGGCAATACAGAGGGCTCCCCAGATGGATACCTGCACATGCACTGGGTTATGTCACAGGAAAGGGACACTGGGCTTGGGGAACTCACTATTTCAGAGCAAGCAGTAACCCTGCTATTTGTCCTGGCTAGAGGCATTACCTCGTATTTCCGTGTTGCTCGCTACAAGCACAACTCTGAGAAATGGCCTGGATAAAGGATAGTCAGGGTCTTGCATTTTTTGGTGTACCCAGTAAGATGGGTAGGAGTGTGAGAGAGCCATGGAGGAGTCTCTCCAACAGTCACAAGTTATGATTGATACATTGTTTTAACACATTTTAGAATTAGTCCCCTTACTTAGGAAAAGATTGTCACTGATCAAATAGTTATCTATTTCTTAAGAATTTTGAACGCTGGAAGGAAATGTTTATGATTGTATTTATTATAGTTAAGATTGTTTTCAACCCAATGTAATCTTTAACAGTTTTGGACTAGGTGTTAAAAACTAAATATGCATTTATAGTCATACTTCATTTGAACAATGACTGGACTTGTTTAGGTACTAAGATAACGGGTAAATGAAATAACATGTTTATAAAACTATGTATGTTTGCAAAATAATTGCATACTTTATTTTACAGCGCAGCAAAAGAAATATCATTGGATATTTTGAGCAAAAGGACTCGGACAACTATAGAGTTTTTGAACGAGTAGCGAATATTTTGCATGATGACTGTGCCTTTCTTTCTGCATTTGGGTAAGTATCTTATTTAAAAGTGTGTTAGTGGGTTGGTTGGCTGCCATGTTAAATTGCTGTTGTATTTGGTCATTTCCTGAAGATGATCTTTCCAAAAATGATCTCAATCCTTTTAAAATCACTAAACAGTCTTTATACCTGTCTCTGAATTCTTTTTAAGGTTTTAAAAGTCTGTTTTTCTTTCTGTAGTATTATCTATTTCAGAATGTGGGCAAGAGGGAAAAAATGGACAAGTTAACAATTAACTAATTCATGCTTTTATTCAACTCATTTACTAACTCTTACCCTATGTCAGACAAAATGCTAATCTGTGGGGTAACCACAGTGAAACAACACACTGTCTTTCTTGTTAAGAAGCATGAGTTTTATCGTCTTCATTCATCTCCATCTCTCCACCACCTTTTTTTATAGATCTTCCCTGTCTCAGGGGAACAATTCTTTCTAAGGCTAACCTCTTCACTGATGTCCTTGTAACTGGTGTCCTTCAAACTCCTCTGGGGCTTTGATCCATCAGTTGTTCCTGCTTGTGTTTTCAACCTGACCCTTTTCAAGAACTGCTTTCCTTTTCTGAAAACACGCTTCTTTCTTTCCTGACCTGCCTCTTCTCTTAAGCTATAATTTCACCTTTCTTTTTCTTTTTATTTTTTTCAAAGATTAGTTTATGCCTGGCTACCTTGATTTTCTTAAATTCTAACCAGTAAAAAACTTAACCTTTTGGAAGCTAACTTTCACCTCCATTGCTCTAATGAAACTTGTCTCTACACAGTCACAAAATGACTTCTTAATTACCAAATCGAGTGGCCTTTTAAACATCTTACTCCTTTTCAATTCCTCTGAAGGGTGTGATGTTCAACTACCTTTTTCTTTTTTTGCTGTGTCAACACTTACATTGAATCCCCCTGGTTTGCTCCCTACCTGTCTGAATTCTGTGACTTTATCTCCCTTTTTTTTTTCTTTTTCTCAAGATGGAATCATTTTTGTGGTTCTGTTCTTGACCCTCTCTCCTCATTGGAGGTTATCTCAACCATCCTTTGACTTCCATGCAGTATTATTTCTCTTTTCATTGGCTCATGACTATTAGGCTTAACTGTAGTAGCTATCTTGAATGGAGCCTGGATGTCTGGCACAATATATCCTCTCCATTTTTTGACCTTTATTGTTTGTCCTTGCTTTAATGCTTTTGTGAGATTTTGTTTGTATGTTTTATTGTGCGCATTATCAGTTTTTTGTTTTTTAAGCGATTGAGGTCTCACCATGTTGCCCAGGATGGTCTTGAACTCCTGGCCTCAAGTGATCCTCCCACGTCTGCCTCCAAAAGTGCTGGGATTATAGGCATGAGCCACAGTGCCCAACCCATATTCATTAAATGCTGCAAGCACAGTCCTGCAGCAGAGCCTGAATCTGGAAGTGCTTCTCCCAGATGTCATCTCATCAGAAAGTCCTTGCCTGATAACTTTATTTAAAGTAGCACTACCATTATTTAATTTGTCATTCTTTACTTATTCCACTTATTTTCTTCATAGCATTTTTTTGTAACCACCAAAGATAAATATATCTACTTGTTAGTCTGTCTCTACTCACCAAAATGTAAACTCCATGAGAGAGAGAGTTTTGATAGTTTTGTTCACTCCCGTTTATCCAATGCCAAGACCATAGCTGGTACAAAGGAAGCACATAGTAAATAGTTATTGAATTAATTAATTAATGGAACACATTTTTTTCTGTTCCCACGGTTATCAATCTAGGTTAGCACCCCTTGCCTCTATCTCCTGGACTACTCTAGTTAGAAACTAGAGATAAATCAGTGTTCAATTAATCTAAAAATTGATTACAAAAATAATTTGTTGTAGTACTCTACAAATGTTTATTAAGCAACTTCTGTGTGCCAGATACTGTACTAGGTTCAGGAAACAACAATGGACAAATAAACAAAAAATTACTTATTTATGGAACTATATTTTAGTGATGTGGGTTATTTCGTTTTTGTTTTTTTTTAATTAGTCCATGTGACCAAACCAATGACCTTGATCCCTAGTTGCCGGAAAACAGTCTGGGGTCAAAAACAACCTTTTAGTGCTAAAACTCCCAATCTAAACTTACACAAAACACAAAAACAACTAACTAAAATTTTCCTTTAAAAAGTCTGCCTCATATTAAACGTTTTCTTTAAATGTATACTTTTCTTGGTATTGCATAGTCTTGTAATAGGGAAGATGATGGATAAGTATATATTTCAAGTCTGTAATTCCTACATTGCAAAATTCTGTCATTCAGGTTTATTACTATTTCTCCCTTCCTATAGGGATGTTTCAAAACCGGAAAGATATAGTGGCGACAACATAATCTACAAACCACCAGGGGTAAGTTGCTATTTCTTAATGTTGTATGATAAGATATAATTTAAATACATGCGTAAGATGTAGTTTTATATGTGTTAATGTTCATAGACTAATAGAACTTTAGAATTGAAAGGAAGTTTGAAGCATCATCTTGTGCTGATCTAAACCCTTCAAAATGAAGGTGGGACCACAGAAGCCTAAAGTCACACAGGCATTAGAGTAGCAGAGCTGGCATTAGAGTAGCAGAGCTGGCATTAGAGTAGCAGAGCTGGCATTAGGGATCTCCTGACTCTCAGGCCTTTTCTATCTCTCTGGCATTCAGTCTGGGAGCCAGATTTTTAAAATGCTCCAGTTGTCTGTGATTGTCACTTCTACCCGTATTGTACTAGCCAAACTCCCAAATCTTCTGGGGTATAAATTTACTTGGTACCTGCCAGATAATAAGGAGCAGCTAGGTTGTTTTTAACCTGTGGGGTAAGAAGTTTTAAGTAGCTGCTTAGGCCCTACCAGGTGATGGTAGCCATAACTAAGAGGCAAAAATCGTAGCACATGTTATCCCAAATTCACCAAGCGTCTGCCATTGCAATTTTTTTTACATACCAAAAAAAATTGAAATTTATGGATATTTTTTCAATTTATAGTTTTCATTTTAATGTTGTTTACAGTGTTTTGACACTGAGATTTTTAATTTTTATGCAGTCAGATAAATGAATTTCTTGCTTAGAAAGTTCATATTCTATTTTGAATTCACATAGGTGTTTGCTTATATTTTTTGCAAGTACATTTCTTTGAGTAGCTTACTTAGTATCATCATCTCTAGATTATCAGAATCCAGTACCTATCTCTCAGTGGTAGTGTGGTTGTTCAGAGCATGGGCTCTGGTGGTATCAGACTGGGTTTGAATGT
Organism: Homo sapiens; assembly: GCF_000001405.40. Lineage (NCBI taxonomy): Eukaryota > Metazoa > Chordata > Mammalia > Primates > Hominidae > Homo > Homo sapiens. The sequence goes on along the minus strand of NC_000009.12, from coordinate 100,017,370 downwards.
CAAATGTGCCACCTTCTTAGTATGTTACTCTGGGAAAGTTTCTTCGCTTCCCCGCGCTTCAGTTTCTTAATTAGTAAAAACGGGATGATAAAAACAGTACTTGCTTTATTGGGATGTTGGGAAGATTAAATGAATCAACACATATAAAATGTTCACAACCATGCCTAGACCCAGTAAGTTTACTGATTAATATTAGCTATTATTTTTATCATCATTTTAGACACTTCATAGATAATTGATTTTGAGTTAATGTAGAAACAGATATGTAGGTAATAAAAGAAATAGTCGTGCCTTACATCCATATAGCATCTTGTATGTTTCAAGGCTTTTTCACTATCCACATTTTCTTCTAAAAGAAGAAATTTCTAAAATTTTCAGCTCTTAGGAATAGCTAAATTAATTCATTTGGAGAATTCTTTTCACAATGCCTTCCTGCCTTTGGTGAAGATACTGATAAAGAGTTAATTGACCTAAATCCAAGAAAAAGCAATAGGCTTGGGTGTCACAGGTTAGATTATTAGCTCCCTGGTAATCACAGAATTATCTGCTTTTTGCCACCCATGGCCCTCTTTCTTGGAAGTTCCATGATCTATGTTTCTTTTGTATTACCAGTAGATTTTCTGGGTTCATGGATGGATATAAGAATGTACTTTTTAGCCTGGGCAACATAACAAGACCCCATCTCTGCATAAAATAAAATAATTAGCTTGGCGTGGTGGCATGTACCTGTAGTCCCAGCTACTCTGGAGGCTGAGGTAAGAGAATTGCTTGAGCCCAGGAGGTCAAGGCTGCAGTGAGCCATGATCATGTCACTGTACTCCAGCCTGGGTGACAGAGTGAGACCTTGCTTTAAAAAATATAAAGAAAAAAAATAAGAATATACTTTTGCCAGCACAGGTTAGATTTAATTTTTTTTTTCTGTTTTGTAATAGCATTCTGCTCCGGATATGGTGTACTTGGGAGCTATGACAAATTTTGATGTGACTTACAATTGGATTCAAGATAAATGTGTTCCTCTTGTCCGAGAAATAACATTTGAAAATGGAGAGGTATGGGCTTTCTACTGTGCATTGTTACTTTAAATTCAAATGTCTGAAACCACAAGCTTCCTCCACCTGTCTTACTATGTTAACAGAGTTATGAATTGTAAGAATCATATAGTGAACATAACTATATCATAGCTGTTTCTGTAATATACACCAGTGATTCTTCACCTTTGCTATCCCAGAACCCCTCTGTTACATTTCCAGTAATAGTAGTAGTTCACTACAGCCTTCAAAATGAGTTTGAAAATGCCTTTCAGGTGATTCTGATACCCATCTGTTGGTTGAGGATCCCTGTTTAGGTGGATGTCCTTTAGAACAAGGGTCCCCATACCCTGGGCCGCAGACCTGTATCAGTCCACGGCCTGCTAGGAAGAGGGCTGCCCAGCGAGAGAGCATTACGGCCTGAGCTCTGCCTCCTGTCAGATCAGTGGCAGCATTAGATTGTCATACGAATGTGAACCCTGTTGTGAACTGTGCATGTGAGGGATCTAGGGTGCATTCTCCTTATGAGAATCTAACTAATGCCTGATGATCTGAGGTGGAACAGTTTCATCCCGAAATCATATCCCCCACCCTGATCAGTGGAAAAATTGTCTTCCATGAAACCAGTCCCTGGTGCCAAAAAGGTGGGGGACTGCTGCTTTAGGAGCAATGCTTTGCAGATTTTAGTTACAATTATTTCTATACAATGAATAATCCTTTGCCACTAGAAGATTTTTCTGTTTTTTGTAAAGCAGTTAATGTTGTCTTTTCCATTATAAATAATGAAAGCAGGTAGCAGTGATAGGTAACCGACCTCAGTCATCCCATGCATCTGAAATCAAGCCCATCGAAATTCTTACAACTCCCACCAAAATAAAACTTAAAAACCTAAGAGGCTGGAGGAACAAGTACAAAGAGTTATGTCTGTAAGGACCTCTCTCCTTTCTTTACTTTATGTAAGACATATCTTTCATTCCAGGTCTTTTGTTTTTAAAACCAATGGCCTAAGAATGCAAGTTTTTAAAAACTTTGTATTAGGTACAGTTTTTAAAAACTTTGTGTATGCATATACACTTCAAAGAATTGTAAGTGTATAAATCACAGTTTAAATATCTGGTCCCCCAAAATTATCACAGAGTAAACATACCCATATAATCACTACTTAGAGTGGTATGGACCAAATATTTGTGTGTCCTAATATTCATATGTTGAAATCCTAATCCCCAATGTGACAGTATTAGGGAATGAATCCTCCATTCATGAGATGGAGTCCTCATGAATGGGATTAGTGAACTCATAAAAGAGACCTCAGAGAGTTATGTAGCTCTCTTTCTGCCATGTGAGGATACAATGAGAAGTAGGCAGTCTGCAGCCTAGAAGACAGCTCTCACTAGAACTGACCATGCTGGCACCCTGATTTTGGATTTCCAGCCTCCAGAATGATGAGAAATGAATTTCTGTTAATTTGTAAGCCACCCAGTTTATGGTACTTTAATATAGCAGCCCAAACTAAGAGAGAGGGTGGACAATTTTTTTCAACAAAGGGTCAGATAGTAAGTATGTTAGCCTTTGCAGTTCATATAATCTCTGTGGCAGCTACTCAGCTTTGCAGTTGTAGCACAAAAGTAACCTTAGACAATATGTAAACAAATGAGCGTGGCTGTGTTTCAATAAAGCTCTTTCTGGACAAATAATTTTCACATGCTGTGAAATATTAAATTTTTTTCCCAATTATTTAAAAATGTAAAGACCAGGGCCTTGTGCCATGGCTCACGCCTGTAATCCCAGCACTTTGGGAGGCCAAGGTGGGTGGGTCACCTGAGGTCGGGAGTTCGAGACCAGCCTGGCTAACTAACATGGTGAAACCCCCGTCTCTACTAAAAATGCAAAATTAGCCAGGCGTGGTGGCAGGCGCCTGTAATCCCAGCTACTCGGGAGGCTGAGGCAGGAGAATCACTTGAATCCAGGAGGCAGAGGTTGCAGTGAGCCAGGATCCACCACTGCACTCCAGCCTGGGCGACAGAGTGAGACCCCGTCCCTCCAAAAAAGAAAAACAAAAAACAAAAAACAACTAAAGACCAATTTTAGCTTGTGGACCTAACAGAATCAGGCAGCAAGTCAGATTTGACCCATGGCTATAATTTGCCAATCCCTGAGCTAAGTCAAGAAATAAAGTATTTCCAAACCCCTTGTCTTCCTTCTCAGTTATTACCCCCACTTACCATCTTCATAATCACCATACTTATTTTCAATAGGACTATAGGAAGCTTTTCCTGTTTTTGAACCTAAAATGGAATCATGTCTTTTGTGTCTGGCTTCTTTCACTCAACTTTATATTTATGGAGTTCATTCATATTGCATGAAGCTGTAGTTCATTCATTTTCATGCTGAATATAATTCCCTATATAAATATAACACAATATATCCATTCTACTATTGGTGGACATTTAGACTGCTTCCAGATTTTGACTACCGTGAATAATGCTGCTATGAACATTCTTTATCTATGTCTTTGGTGAATATATGCACAGATTTCTACTGGATATATATACCTATGAATAGAATTGCTGAGTCATAGGGCATATATACATTCAATTTTAGTGGATACCAGTTTTTCCAAAGTGGTTTTAGCAGTTTACATTCCTACCAGTAGTATATCAAAGTTCACATTGCTCCACGTCCTTACCCACATTTGATACCAGCTATTTACATTTTTAATCTATTTTGGTGTATGTGTAGTAGAGTCTCATTGTGGTTTTAATTTATATTTCCCTGATGATCAGTGGGATTGAGCACTATCAGTTGCCTTTTCCGGAAAGACAGATGGTCGTAGAAGAAAAGCAGCTTAAAATGCCATGCTTAATGTTCTGGGTTTCCTTCTATTCCAGTCTTGGCCCATAATTCTTTTTTTTTTTTTTTCACTCTTAGATGCTTTCAAAAAGTGTTTTATTATTATTATTATTATTACTCTGGTTTTTCTAATTTTCCCAGTAGTAAGATTAGTCCAGATTACATCCATTATTACTCCAGAATGCAATTTTTAGCACTATAGCTTAACCTAATTGTAATACAACAAAACCTGGAGTTCTTAAGAAAGAGTATAATTTCAGATTTGATGTCTTCTGTTACTAAGGTGTATGTATATTGTTAAGTGCTTTCAGATTTGGAGATAATATATGTGAATTCTCCAAGATTCCCTGAATCTTTCCAGAGGCTTCCAGCTCTTAGATCTTACTATCTCTTTCTCCCTTTCTTGGGGAAGAGAGAGCAACACTTAACTTTTGGGACTGACCATTGTGAGCAAACCAGAATGCTCTTTGCCCCCTCTTTGTCTTGAGAATGCATTCTTGGGGTATTTTTGATCTGCGTCCATTGCCATTTCCAACACTTAGACTGGGATATATAAGGCAAAAAGAAAACCCAAGGAACTGAGTACTATTTCTTGGATCCTTAAGTCCTTAGCCAGTCTGCTTTCTTTTATTTGCTTCTCAGGGCCTTATGTTTGTTTATATAATGTCCAGGATTTTTAGCTGAACTTCCTGGGAGAAATAGAGAAAAGTGTCTACTTCATCTTTCTGGAAGCAGAAGTCTATGCCAACAGCATTTAAAAACTCTTTAAAAGACTTTTTTTTACCTGATTTAAACGTTGCCTTTGCATTTTAGTACATAAAAATAAGTTAGTATTTTTATGTCAGCATGGTACATTTTTGGTATACCTTTTCCACCATAAAATAATATTTAATTCTTATTAAGCTTGTAGCAATTTCAAATCAAATGTATGAATGTTTGTATGAGATTCTCTGGGTGTGTCTGCTTGGACAGATCATTGCAAACCTAAATCATCTTACATTGGCTCTTTGCTGAGTGTTTCATAGAAAGAGGATTAGTGCTGCCAGGATCCAGTTTAACATGTCAGAATACCCCACTGGGACATCCTACTTGTTTATAATAGCTATTTCTCAAATCAAGGTTCTAAAAATGGCTTCTCATGAAATGTGATTAATATATTTTTAAGCCTGCAAGCTTAAATATCATAAACTTATCAGGCTCTATTGCACTAGATATGCAATAGATATTGCAATAGATATGCAAATTCATTGCATATCTTAATGCAATGCCATATTTTAAAATATTTTGGAATTTTGAATTATAGAAGACTTTTGAGTGAAAATTCTAACACAAGCCTTTTCTTGGAAAGTCTCTTTTTTTTGGTTTGAAGAAGTTGCTTTACCAAATTTTCTAGTTTCTTTTGTTCCTGAGATTCTTTGGTTCTACTTCCTTTTCCCCAGTTTTTTAGAATTTCGGGGAGTATTTCTAATTTGAAAATCTGAAATGCTCCAAAATCCAAAATTTTTTGAGCACCTACATGACACTCTTGGAGCATTTCAGAGTTTTAGATTAGGGATGCTGCAGCGGTAAGAATAATGCAAATATTTCAAAATCCAAAACACTTCTGATCCCAAGCATTTTGAATAAGAGATACTCAACCTTTATTTCTATATGACAGCTTGGCATTTTAAGTCCATTCTTAGTGACCAGAGTATTTTTTTATTCAGTAATGTTCTGTTGCTTTTTTCAGTGTTATTTTTGAACCTGCTTCTCAAAGTAGTATTTCCCTGGATTCTGAGTAATTCATATTGTTAAGATGCATCTTGAGTCATTGTAGTTGTTTTATATGTAGTTTTTTGAGATGGTTTGAATAAATATGCTCAGATTGGGTGTCTTTCTATCTTTAATTATGTGTCATTACCCCCCATGACACACTGGATGCTCAGGTACAGGAGTTCAAATGTTTGGACCAAATAGTGGCTTTCAAACCATTTTTCATTGTAAGGCAAAGTAAGACATTTTCACTAGTATATACATAATTCTCATTTTTCATTGAATAATACCCTTCTATGTGCACTGCACTCAATTTTATATTCTCTTCTTTTCTTTTTAATACTGGATATATAGATTGGACATAGCATGCATAATCTTGTCTTGCCTCCATCTCTTTCCTATCATTAATAGCATTTTAAGGTAGATAAGACATTTCACAGAATTCAAAATACTGCTCCTACAATTTGAGTGTTTGGCCACAAGGTGTCAGTGGTGTGTCATAGTTTTATAGTACCAGAAGCCTAGAAGAGATTGGGATTTAAGCTCCCTCTGCTTTTTAATGCACATTCATACTTATGTTTTTTTTTAACTTAGAATTTATTAATAGAATAGTTAAGTACAAGCAATTGTAAAGCAGACCGTTTGAAGTCCTTTATATCAAACTTTAAGGAAGTAAACATTTAAAAAATATTTCTTTATATTTGAATTGTTAGTCTTTTCCATTTTGATCTTAAACTTGGTTTTGAAAGAGAGGGTGGATTAGACTTTTTCTGCTAACAGTTTATAAAAATGAATGTCCTGGCTTTCTTTTTTTTGCTTTTCTCTTTTTTTTTTTTTTTGAGATGGAGTTTCGCTCTTGTCGCTCAGGCTGGAGTGCAATGGTGCGATCTCGGCTCACTGTAACCTCTGCCCCCCAGGTTCAAGGGATTCTCCTGCCTCAGCCTCCTGAGTAGCTGGGATTACAGGCGCCCACCACCACGCCCAACTAATATTTGTAATTTTAGTAGAGACAAGGTTTCACCATGTTGGTCAATCTGGTCTCGAACTCTGACCTCAGGTGATCCACCCGCCTCAGACTCCCAAAGTGCTGGGATTACAGGTGTGAGCCACCGTGCCCAGCCTGTCCCTGGTTTTCTTACTTCTGTAGGCCTCAGGTATGTTTAGTTGGATTACTTACAATTTTTAAAAAAATTTGCATTCACTCATTTAGTCCTCAGAGGCCCAGGAAAATTTAAGAATTTGTCATGACTATTTGCCTGCTGTGGTAGTTCTTGCAGGGGTAGTTTTTAAAACCAGATTTAAAGGTATAGACCTGGAAAATCTTAAACAGTGAAACGGCATCTCCCTTCCCCGTGGTTGTTGGCACATCTAATAATTCTTGAGATTTATTATGTTGTAAGCAACCATTTAACCATTTAACCAACCATTAAATCATGTAATCTGTGGGGAAGGATCTGTTTCCTGTAAATCTGGTTGTCTTGATATTCTTCTCCTTAATCTTTTAACATTTGTTTGGTAAAGAATATGCTTGTATGGACATAGTAAACTTGGAAGCCTAAGCAGCATGAATTACCACCTATTTAGCAACATTTGTTTATTTATTGATATATGTTGATTGTGAGGAAAAGAGAAATGAAATAAGATTGTCTTCAAGGGGTTTTCAGTTTAATATTTCATATGTACAGATAACGTAACACAAAGTCATGCCCCGTGCCACATGAGGGGCACTGATAAAATGCTCTTGGAGTTTAGAAAAAAGAATTTTCCATTGATAAAATGCTCTTGGAGTTTAGAAAAAAGAATTTTCCTTTGACAGGGATGGAGTGGAATGAGAGATGACTTTAGAGAAGCGGCATTACGTCCTGAAAAGAAAAGTGCTAAGAGAGAAGCAGAAGTACTAAAGAAAATGGGAAAACAGGAGAAGGAGGTTAGAGAGGAGGGGACTAGGCATTAGTTTTGAGTATTTAAGGTACTTGTTTAGAATTTGAAATGGAGATATTAAGCAGGCAGATGGAAACCTAGGCTTGGATTTTGTACTGGAGCTGGGCTTGTAGACACAGATAAGCGATCAGTTAGAAGTAGTGATCAAAACTGTTGAACTACATGAACTTGTCAGGCTAGAGCAGAGAAGTCCAAAGACAGTCATTGAGACCAGCATCAGTTAATGGATGGGGGAAGAAAAAATGTGAGTCCAAGAGATAAAAGATGAGGAAGAAAAAAATCAGCTTACTAAAAGATGAATGTGATGCCAGGGGGTGGGGAGAGGGGAGATGGGAATCACTACTAATGGGTATGTGGTTTCTTTTTGAAGTGATAAAAAATATTCTGGGGCTGGGCGCAGTGGCTCATGCCTGTAATCCCAGCACTTTGGGAGGCCGAGGGGGATGGATCATGAGGTCAGGAGATTGAGACCATCCTGGCCAACATGGTGAAACCCCATCTCCACTAAATATACAAAAAAATTAGCTGGGCATGGTGATGTGCACTTGTTGTCCCAGCTACTCAGGAGGCTGAGACAGGAGAATCGTTTGAACACGGGAGGCAGAGGTTCCAGTGAGCCAAGATTGCACTAGTGCACTCCAGCTTGGGCTACAGAGTGAGACTCCGTCTCAAAAAAAAAGCTCTAGAATTAGTGGTGATGTTTGCACAACCTTGTGAATATAATTAAAACCACAAAATTGTACACTTAAAAATGATGGGCTGGGTGTGTTGCCTCATACCTGTAATTCCAGCACTTTGGGAGGCTGAGGCAGGCAGATTGCTTGAGCCCAGGAGTTTGGGACCAACCTGAGCAACATGGCGAAATCCCATCTCTACAAAAAATAACAAAAATGAGCTGGGCATGGTCATGCATGTTTGTAGTCCTCACTATTTGGGAGGCTGAGGTGAGAGGATCACCTGAGCCTGGGGAGGTCGAGGCTGTACTCCAGCCTGGGCGACACAGTGAGACCCTGTCTCCAAAAAAACAATGGTGAAATTTATGGTATGCTAATTGTATCTCAGTTTTTTAAAAAAATAAATGTAACAAGAGGCTTAATAATTGATCTTATATACAAGTGAAATAGGCTTAAATATGGAGATGAGAGCCAGAAGAAAACTTTTAATCCTGTAAAATAGGTCCCAGTTTGTTTTTTAAAAAATAAAGGACATTTGTACTTTCTGGTGAGGTAGTTCCTAGATTTATGGAGAGATCCTCAAAAGGATAGTTGATGAAAATAATTTTGTTATGAGACCCTTTCTGGACTTTTTCTGATGAGTCAGAACTTAGCATTTGTTGGGGAGAATAAATGATTAAATCTGTCTACATATCACATTTTATTTAATCATGTCTACCCATTGTAGTATTCTCCAATTACAACAATAAAAATTTTAATAGCACTTTATAATTTTCAAGGTGCTTTTCTGTGTGTATAAATAAAGAGGTATATAAAAATATATAGGGGTAGGTATTTATTAATAATGTTAATTGTATATTGGTTGAGAATTAGTTAAATAATGGAGGTTTTGTTTTTTACCCTGGATAAAACACTTCAAGCTTTGGGTAAGTTTTATATGTAAGTGTAATGGTTTTTGCAACCTTAGAATATAAAAAAATACAAAAAATTTTGCAAATCAGATTTATTTATTGCTGATATACTGTTTTTCACTGTTACTTGTGAAGACTGAAAATACTAGTCATGTTTACCCCACTCTAAAATTAACACCTTGGTAAAGAACCAGCATAGTTCACCTCTATATGTCATGAATTCAACAGCCTAACCCTGAAGTCTCATATCCCATACTGGCTAACAGACAGTGGGGGCAGATCAGTTTCTGCAGCAAAGCAGGGCATGTGGGTCCTCTGACTGTCTGGGTACTTGAGGTGGGGAGGGGAGTGAATTCAGTCTTCTGTTCAGGCTAATGTTTATTCACACCACTGGGCCTTTTTTTTCCCCCGGGATATTGCAACTATTGCATTACATGGGTTGGGTTCAAAATTGTTCCTACCTAGAAAATAGCTACAACTGAATGGAGAAGCCTGATAATTCTCATTGAATGCTTCTCTCTACAGGAATTGACAGAAGAAGGACTGCCTTTTCTCATACTCTTTCACATGAAAGAAGATACAGAAAGTTTAGAAATATTCCAGAATGAAGTAGCTCGGCAATTAATAAGTGAAAAAGGTAGACAGATTAAGGTGTTTATTTTCATCATTTCTTTCTCTCTTTTCTTTTTTTCCCTTTCATCATCTCCTCTCCCATTTCTGTCAAATCACATAAACATATTTGGGTTAAAAACTTATTTTAACACATTCAAATGTGATGGTAAGGAGGCATTAGTAGAGAGATAATATGAGGTAGTGTTTTTTTGTTTGTTTGTTTTCTAACCATTACTATTTTGGAGAGAAAAATCAAAGTGCATGAAAAGCAGGGTCATGAATGAGCATTAGTTCTGGGCACTTGCCTTCATTGCTTGTGTGACCCCTTTTCCAATGGACATTCCCAGAGATGTTGCTGAGAGAGCTTACACAGTCTGATTAACATTTATTTCTAAATGAAAGAAAGTTGAGTAGTTGTCTGTGGATTTCTCCAAAGCATTTAATGGAATTTGAGGTGTCACCAGCTTTTCCTCTGTAGTTAGGGAAGAAAGTCAAACAAAATAAACTAAAGGTACTCTATAGAGCTGCCCATTTTAGTCACATACTATCTTGCAGGTTGAATTCGACTAAAAATCAACCAGTATGACTGGAATAGGCTGGAATGAAAATGGTCCCATGAGAATGGCTCATATATCAACTTGAACTTCCTGCCTAGAACCTGATAATCTGCAAAGTAAATGATTGCCCATTTAAGGAAAGTAAAAAATTCATTATAGCCTTCAAATTTGCACTAAGTCAATATGATTTCTAAAGAAGTTATACTCTGTGCCCTAAGAACTAAAAGCCTACCTATTTTAAGTGTTAGATATTTAGGTTTTAGTTTTTCTGATCTATATTACTCTTAAGAATGTTGGGTGCTTTTTTTTTAGTATGTCACTTTTTGTGAGCTTGCAATCTTACAAAAATATTTTCAAGAAAATTTGAATTTACCTCTCAAAATTCTTTTTTCTTAAAGGTACAATAAACTTTTTACATGCCGATTGTGACAAATTTAGACATCCTCTTCTGCACATACAGAAAACTCCAGCAGATTGTCCTGTAATCGCTATTGACAGCTTTAGGCATATGTATGTGTTTGGAGACTTCAAAGATGTATTGTGAGTATTCATTTTGTTTTTTAAAAATTACTGATATGTTTTTCAAAAATGAACTGAAAATAGTTGTTTGAATATTTTAAATAATCCTATGTTGGAACAGTAAGACTTTGTTAACTGGATGGGAGAGGTTTGGGTGACTGCTGCTTTTTTTCACTATAGAGTGTGGTATAATTATGAACATTATGATATAGCCTTGTAGAAATACCAACATTAAGTGATTAGAATTGATAATGAATGCTTGGATGATTAGTGATTAATGCTTGGGAATCAATCTCTCAAAGAAAATTTTTGTCTTGTGAGAAATTAGCTCTTCATTGAGTTTGGTCTTTACCAAGCACATTGAGAAAAATAGCTTATAACCTTAGGCCAGGGTAAAGGAAATTGGTAATATTGCTGTTCATTCGTGACTTCACATAGCAAGAACATTAGTAGTATTTATGAATCTTGCTATTACTAGGCGTTTCTAATGGCATATAGCTATGAACTGTTCCAAGAATAGGTAAGCTTTCTGACTCAATTCTCAGATATTTATAGTATTAATATATGTACAAGCCTTGTAGCTACTACAGATACTGAATTTTTATCAGCTTTGTGAGGTGTTAAATACAGTGGTTAAAAATGTAGATGTTTCTTATACGAAAAGTTTAAGCAATACAGGTATTCAAGTTAGACATTTTATTTTGAAAATTCATTTAAATGCCATTTTTATCTCAAAAGATTAAATTACACAGAGGATGATTTGTAGTCCTATGGCAGAATGAATTACCCCACTGAGTTCTAAATATTTCAGTGGAGATGTGGTTGTTTGGTAGAAGATTCCCAATCCTAAAATTACCTAGGAAGCCTAGATTTGAGTCCAGCCTTGGGAAAGTCACTTACCTCCTCTGTTCTTGTTTCTTCGTATATAAAAAATGGTTAATGATACCACCTACCTAATGGGATTGTTATAAAAACTAATGAGAAATAATGATTATGTTATAAACCATAAAGTAGTGAGAAATCTTAGTTGTTCTTACTTTATCTATGCTCAGAAAGATACCATTCAAGCTATCAATTCATTAAATATTTAGCTATCTCTTCTGTATGACAGACATTGTGCTAAGAACCAAGGGTTTTTACTGAGACTGGGTCCCTGCCCTCAAAGAATTCATAACCAAGTAGAGGAAAGGGACAACCAGGTTAACAGGCAATTGTGTTTTACTAAGGGATAAGTGCTCTGACAGAGATCAACAGAGTAGTACCTGATCCAGGATTTCTGGCGATATTGATGCCGAAGGTAGGTATAAAGTTTTGTAGAAGTTTATCCCGAGGTGAGAAGGAGATGGGGCTTAGAGAAAGGTGACCTTGGCAAGAACAAGTTCAAGGGCTGTTGGTGAATATAAATGGAAAGGTGAATGCTGAGGGATGAGGTCAAGAGAACTAACACATGAAAGTCCTTACATGCTGTGTTAAGGAATTTTGACTTTATCCTGAAAACCATGAAGAGCCAATGAAAGGTTTTAATCAGGGAATGACATAATCAGATTGTTTTTTAAAGATTACTCTGGCTGCAATTTGGAAAATAGATTAGAGGGGGTCAAAATAAAATCTAGGAGACTGTTCAGTAATCTAGTCAAGAGTTGATTATGAAAGTTAATCTCAATGGACATCAGCAAGATGACAGAAAAGGACTTTCCATGTTCGTCTCCACACAGAAACATCAAGTTGAACATACATCCATGCAGAAAAATACCTTCACAAGAGCTAAGGAAACCAGGTCAGAGATAGTAGTACCTGAGAGTAGTAAAGAAATGATGCATTGAAGAGGCTAAAAAGGACAGTTTTATGCTACTTGCACCACCCCTCCCCCAACCCCAGGCAGCACAGTATGGAGAGAGATACCCTTCATGTGGGGAAAGGAGAAGGAAGTTAGCACTGAACTTTTCCTCAGACCCAAACACTTGGCTTGTCCTGGTAAAACCCAGTGCCAGAAAGGCTTCTGTGGCCCCAGACTCCAGGCTGGTACCCATGAACTGAGCATTTAGTCCCATCCTGGTGCCAGGCAATATCTCCAAGCCCCAGGCTGGATTCCAAAGCTGCAGGCCCGAGGCCTGCCCAGCAGACTCAGTCTCTGGACCTATTCCAGCACCAGGCCAAACCCAGTGGCTTCAGGCTCCAGACCAGCTGCCCACAGCCCTGATCATGAGGCTAGCACTCACAGACCCAGGGTTCAGGCTTATCCTAGTAGACTCCAGTGATGGACCAGCCTCCATGGACCCAAGTTCTAGGACTACACTTGTGGATCCAGGTTTCAGACTGGCCCCTAAAGCCCCAGGACCCAGGCTAGACTTTGCAGACCTGACCCCCAGGCCAGCACCTGCACACTCAGCCTCCAGGCCAACACAAGTGGACCCAGGCTCTAGCCAGACTCCTAAGCTCTAGGCTTTCAGCCAGCCTCAGTGGCTTCAGATACCAGGCCAGCAACCATGATCCTACACTCCAGACAAGCTGCCATAGATCGTGATTCCACACCTGCCCCAGCACTAGGTCAGCTGCAGGTTCCAAGGACCCAAGATCTAGGTTTGCTCCAGTAGACAGAGAGTCCAAGTTCACCCTAGTAGGCCCTGGTTCTAGGCCAGTCTCCATGGACGGAAGCTCCAGGACTATCTCTGCAGACCCAGGCTCCAGGCCAGCCCCTGTGGACTCTTGACCCAGGCCCACTCCCACAGACTCAGCCTATCCCAGTGGACCCAGGCACCAGGCTCATCCCAGTGCCTGGCTGGCCCCTGCAGACTCAGGCTCAAGGCCTACCCCAGTGCCAGGTCAGCTCTAGTGGACCCAGGCTTCAGACCCACCCTCTTAGATGCAGGCCCATTCCACAGAACCAGACAACAGGTCCACTCCTGTGGACCCAAGTTTCAGGCTTAACTCCATGGACCCAGGCACCAAGCTCACCCACCTGCTGACCCAGGCACCAGGCCAGCCAGTGTGAAGACTCTTAAGAGCAAGCCAACCTATGGACCATAGCAGGCAGCTGGACTAGAATCCCTGAATTGACTGACTAGTGAAGGGCTTTCCCAGACAAAGCCAGTCAAAGACTAGAATAAGTCTCTACATCTTCAAATGCCCAGACATCAATGTAAGGCAACAAGAAATGAAAAACCAAGGAGACATAAACGTAACATCACCAAAAGAGCACAATAATCTCCCAGAAGCTGACCCAAAGAAATGGAGATGTATGAACTGCCTGACAAAGAATTCAGAATAATTGTTTTAAAAAGTAACATCCATGAACTTCAAGAAAATACTGAGAAACAATTCAATGAAATCAGGAAAGCAAGTTACCAAAATGAGAAGTTTACCAGAGAGATTGAAATTATATATTTCTTAAAAATTAAACAAATTCTAGAGCTGAAGAACACAATGAATGAAAAGAAAATGTAATAGCATCACCAACAGAATTGAACAATTAGAAGAAAGAATTTAAACCTGAACATACAGGTTATTTGAAAACATACAGAAGAAAAAAAGAATGAAGAAAGTTTATGGAATTAATGGGACAGCACCAAAAGAGTAAATATTCAAGTTATAGGAGTAAATGAAGGAGAAAGGAGAAATAAAGGGGTAGAAAGCTTATTTAAAATAAAAAAAGCTTTGCAAATCTGAGGAAAGGTATAAGTATCTAGGTACAGGAAAGTCAAAGAACTCCAATCAGATTTAGTCCAAAGACTACGCCAACACATAAACTGTTGAAAATCAGGGACACAGGGAAGATTCTGAAAGCAGCAAGAGAAGATTATGAAAGCAGCAAGAGAAGATTATGAAAGCAGCAAGAGAAGATTCTGAAAGCAGCAAGAGAAGAGCAAATAACATATAAAGGGGAGTTCCAGTACAGCTAGCAGCAGTTTTCTCATCAGAATCCTTATAGACCAGGAGAGAGTGGGATGATATGTTCAAAGTCTTTAAGGAAGAAAACTGCCAACCAGCAATATTATATTAATACCTGGCAAAGCTGTCCTTCAGAAATGAGAGCTAAAGACTTTCCCAGATGAACAAAAGCTGAGGGAGTTCATTACCATCAGACCTGTCTTAAAAAGAATGCTAAAAGGGAGTTCTTCAGGCTGAAAGAAAAGGACAGTAAGTACTAACATGAAAACGTGAAAGTATAAAACTCACTGGTGAAAGTAAGTATACAGTCAAATTCAGAATACTCTAATTCTGTAATGGTGGTATATAAATCACTTATAGCTTTGGTATGAAGGATAAAAGACAGAACTATTAAAATAATAATAGCTACAATAATTTTAGGGATACACAATATAAAAAGATGTAAATTATGACACCAGAAATTTAAAATGTGAGGAGGGTAGAGTAAAAGTGTAGTTTTTTTTTTTATGTGAATAAAGTTTTTATCAGCTTAAAATAGCCTGTTATGAGCATAGGACATAGTGAAGAAATGTACAAAATAAAATAAAAATTTTAAAAACCCTATTATAATTATATTTTACGTAAATCTCATGGTAACCACAAAGCAAAAAACTTTAGTAAATACACGAAAGATAAAAATTAAGGAATAAAGCCTACCACTAGAGAAAATCACCTAATCACAAAGGAAGACAAGAAGAGAGGAAGAAAGCAACAAAGGATCTACAAAACAACCAGTGAACAATTAACAAAATGGCAGTAGTCTTTACCCATCAATAATTAATTTGAATGTAAATGTCTTAAATTCTCCAGTCAAAAGACAGAGACTGGCTGAATGGATAAAAAGCCAATACCCAACTATAAACTGCCTACAAGAGATTCGCTTCACCTATAAGGGACACAGGTAGACTAAAAGTGAAGGGAGGTAAACAGATATTCGGGACATATGGAAACCAAAAGAGGGCAGGGTAGCTATAATTATATAACATTTAAGTCAAAAACTGTAAAGCAAGGTCATTATGTAAATATAAAGAGATCAATTCAGCAAGAGGATATAATAATTACAAATATATCTGCATGCAACATTGGAACACCAAAATATATAAAGAAAATATTAATAGATCTGAAAGGAGACTATAATACAGTAATAGTAGGGGACTTCAATACCCTACTTTTTCAGCAAGGGCCACATCATCCAGACAGAAAAATAGGGAAATTTTGGACTTAAATAGTTTTAGCTCAAAGGGACCTAACATACTTATATAGAACATTCTATTCAACTGAAGCAAGATACACATTCTTCTCAAGTGCCCATGGAACATTCTTCAGGATAGATCATATGTTAGGCCACAAACAAGTCTTACCAAATTTAAGAAGATTAAAATTGTATCAAATATCTTTTCTGACCACAATGGTATGAAGCTAGAAATCAATAACTGGGAGTAAATTGGAAAATTCACAAATACCTAGAAATCAAACATGTTACTGAACAACCAGTGGAGCAAAGAAGAATTTAAAAGGGAAATTTTAAATTATCTTTTAAAAAATGGAAATGGAAATACAACATACCAAACAAAACTTATGGGAAGCAGCAAAAATAGTTTTAGGAAGGAAGTTTTATAGCAAGAAACACCTACATCAGAAAACAAGAAAGATCTCAACCTAACATTACATCTCAAGGAACTAGAAAAAGAACAAACCAAGCCCAAATTTAGTAGAAGGAAGAAAATAATAAAGATCAGAAGAAATAAATGAAATTGAGATTAGAAAAACAATAGAAAAGAGCAACAAAACTATAGCTGGTTTTTTAAAAAGATAAAATTTTAAAACTTTTAGCTAGAATTAAAGAGAGAAGTCTCAAAAAATAAGAAATGAAAGAGGAGACATTACAACTGATACTACAGAAATACAAAAGAATAAGAGGCTACTATGAATAATTATGTCAACAAATTAATAATGTAGAAGAAAATACTAGGCACATACAATCTACCAAGGTGGAATCATGAAACAGAAAATCTAAACAGACCAATAGCAACCAATAACAAATAAGAGATTGAATCAGTAATGAAAAGTCTACCATCAAAGAAAAGCCCAGGACCTGATGACCATTCTTTCTAAAACTACCAAAAAATTGAAGAAGGGAGAAAGTTTTTTTTTTTTTTTTTTTGATACAGGATCTTGCTTTATCACTCAGGCTGGCGTGCAGTGGAGCAATCATAACTCACTGCAGCCTCAAATTCCTGGGCTCAAGTAATCCCACCTCAAGCCTCCCGAGTAGGTGGGACTACAGGCATGTGCCACCATGCCCACCTAATTTTTTTTTTACTTTTTATAGAGATGGATTCTTGCTGTTTTCCAGGCTGGTTTCAAGCTCCTGGCCTGGCCTGAAGTGATCCTCCCACTTACGGCCTTCCAAAGCACTGGGATTAGAGACATGAGCCACTGCACCGGCCTGGGAGAACACTCTTAAACACATTCAAAGTCAGACTAGGACACTACAAGAAAAGAAAATTACAGGGTAATATCCTTGATAAACATAGATGCAAAAGTCCTCAACAAAATCCTAGCAAACTAGAGACCCTGGTTATGGTCAATTGATTTTTGACGATGGTGCAAAAAAGGTGCACTTTTCCCAGCACCAAAAAGAGAGAGAAAAGAGAGTCTCTTCAATAAATGGTGCTGGAAAAAGCGGGGGGAAACTGGATATCTACATGCAGAAGAATGAAATTAGACCCTCATCTCGCCCCGTATACAAATATCATCTCAAAATAGATTAAAGACATTAACATAAGATCTGAAATTTTAAGAGTACTGAAGAAAACAGGGAAAGCTTCATGACATTAGTGTGGGCCACAAATTTTTGGATATGACCCCAAAAGCACAGGCAATAAAAGCAAAAATAGAAAAATTGGATTACGTCAAACTAAAAAGTTTCTGCACAGTGAAGGAAATCTACAAAGTGAAAAAAACAACCTACAGAATGGGAAAAAGGATTTGCAAACCATACATCTGATGAGGGGTTAATACTTAAAATATATAAAGAATCCAAACAAATCAATAGTAAGAAAACAACCTGATTGAAAATGGGTAAGGCATCTGAATAAACATTTCTCAAAATAAGACACACAAGCGGCCAATAGGTATATGAAAAAGTGCTCAACATCACTAATCATCAAAGATATTAGAATGGTGTCTTTGACAACCCATGGAGTGGGAGAAAATCTTCACAATCTATACGTCTGACAAAGGACTAACATCCAGAATCGACAATGAACTTAAATCAGTAAGAAAAAAACAAATAATCTCATCAAAAAGTGGGCTAAGGACATGAATAGACAGTTCTCAAAAGATACACAAATGGCCAACAAACATATGAAAAAATGATCAACATCGAGAGGACGGCCTTGAGCGGAGGGGGAGGGGCGGGGGACAGGGTCGGGGGGCGGAGCCCTGGCCTCCCAGCGCGGTACACTGTGCCTCAGGTGCGCCGTGTCCACGCCCCGCCGCTGTGGGAACGGCCGTGCGCTCCCTGCAGGCGGTCATCCGCCTCCTGCCCCGGGCCTCACCAAGGAGCAGCTGCGCCCGCTGCCCACGCACGACTACTTCCAGTTCTTTGCCGCCGACCTGAGATCCAGAATATAAAAACTTTTTAGAAACCTACTGTGTGGAGGAAGAGAAGACCAGTGCCAACCCTGAGACTGCTGGGGGAGATGGAGGCGAAGACAAGAGAGCTCATTGCTAGAAGAACTACACCTATTTTGGAATATATTAAAAATAGAAAATTAGAAAAGCAGAGAATTCGAGAAGAGAAGCGAGAAGAACGGAGGAGGAGAGAGAAAAGAAACGTTTGCGGGAAGAGGAAAAAAGAAAAGAGATGCAAAAAATGAGATAAACCGAAGAAAATTGCAGAGAAGTAAGGATTAAGGTCACACAGCAGCAGTGACAAAGAGCACAGGGATGTGGAGAGATCTCAAGAAAAAGAATCTGAAGCACAAAGACAGCATGTGGATGACGGCAGGAGGCACAGAGCTCACCACGAGCCTGACTGGCTTTCCAGAAGGCGTGAAGATTAGCAGAGATGGGGGAGCCGGGACAGCGGGGCTCCGAGGGAGGCCGTGGAGAGACCAGGAAGAGTGCAGAGGTGTGATGACGGTCCGGCACCCAGAAAGGAGTGACTGGCAAACGAGGACCGGCCGGCCTTGCAGCTGTATGATCCGGGAGCTCGCGTGTGGCGGAAGCGGGAGGAACTGCAAGGCAAAAGGTTCGGGGACAGATCCTGAGAACAGGGAAGAGGCAGAATGAGTCACTGCGTGCACCAGCCCTCCGTGGACGAGCGAGGGTATCCCAGAAATGTGTAAATGACCCCGAGTGTGACTGGGAAGGAGAACTTACTCCTTACCAGGAAACTGGAAGCTAAAAATACAGAGGGTGACATAGAAACACACAGAAACCATTCTAAAGAAAGTAGTGATCATGTCTTAAATTAAGCAGAATTCTCACGGATTTTAACCATTCCTGTTATACACTAGTATTTGTTGTTTAGCCAAAACAGAAAATGACTTCCATTGGACAGTAGAAAAATGTGTGTAAAATAGGGAAGAAAGTTAGTATTGGATCAGTGCAAGTCCTGAAGCACTTTCAGTGCTGTGAGAACGACACCCACTTTGGGTTTCATTCTTTTGTAAGCAGAGGAGCTGTCAGTCGCTTGTGCTTCTCGGTGGCCTCTGAGCTGTGGTGTCGAGTAAAGAGCAGTTCTTGTTTGTTACAACCTTTGTGAGTCAGCCATGCCTGCAAAGTGTGCTGTGTTTTAGTCCTGGTAGGAATATATATCAACAGTTCACACTGTATAAAACCCAATAGCTTCAACTATTGCCCTTTCAACAGTTTTGCCACTGACCGGATGAAAATGGTTTCACAGTCTTTGGATGGATGCATTTGTGGTTTGTAACCATTACGGTTTAAACCATGGTTTAAGGATTTGCCCAAATAACAGAAATTTTGTTCGGGAAGGGATAAATTTGGTAAAGCATATAGAGCCTGCCTTTGCGTTTTAGACACTTTATTTGTAAATAACTTAAAATAGCTTTCTGAAACTGTGCATTCTACAGTTTTTTCCTTTCAGTGAAATTGTTAAATGTTAATGTATTTTTGGCACTGCGATTTTAACCATTTATTAAATAAAAATTTTGTTAAAAAAATGCTAAACATCACTAATGATCATCAGGGAAATGCAAATAAAAACTACAATGCAATACCACCTTATTTCTGCAAGAATGGCCATAATAAAAAAATTTTAAAAAGTAGATGTTGGCGTGGATGTGGTGATCAGGCAACACTGCTGGTGGGAATGTAGACTAGTACAGCCGCTGTGGAAAACAGTGTGGAGATTCCTTTAAGAACTGAAAGTAGAACTACCATTTGATACAGCAATCCCGCTACTGGGTATCTACCCAGAGGAAAGGAAGTCATTATATGAAAAAGATACTTCGCACGCATGTTTATAGCAGCACAATTCACAATTGCAAGATCATGGAACCAACCCAAATGCCCATCAGTCAACAAGTCGATAAACTGTGGTGTGTGTATATGTGCATATATATATATATATACACACACATATACATACGTGTGTATGTGTACATATACATGTGTGTGTGTATATGTATGTGTATATATATACATATATATATATATGTATATATATACACATACACGATGGAATACTGCTCAGCCATAAAAAGGAATGAACAGCATTTACAGTGATCTGGATGAGATTGGAGACTATTATTCTAAGTGAAGCAACTCAGGAATGGAAAACCAAACATTGTATGTTCTTACTGATATGTGGGAGCTAAGCTATGAGGACACAAAGGCTTAAGAATAAAACAATGGACTTTGGGGACTTGTGAGGAAGGGTGGGAGGTGGGTGAGGGATAAAAGACTACAAATAGGGTGTAGTGTATACTGCTCTGGTGATGGGTGCACCAAAATCTCACAAGTCACCACTAAAGAACTTACTAATGTAACCAAATACCACCTGTACCCCAATAACCAATGGGGGAAAAAAAAGAATAATGGTGTCTTTGTTTTGTCTTGCTATAAAGGAATACCTGAGGCTGGGTAATTTATAAAGAAAAGAGGTTTATTTAGCTTATGGTTCTACAGGCTGTACAAGAAGCATGACACCTGCATCTGTGTAGCTTCTGGTGAGGGCTTTTATGCTGCCTTAAAACGTGGCAGAGAAAGTAAAAGTGGAAGTGGGCACATGCAAAGAGGGACCAAAGCTGAGGGGCGTCCTGGCTTTGTAACAACTCACTCTCACAGGATCTAATTCAATCCCAGCAAAACTAATCCTATCTCACTAGAGCTAGAACTCAACTACCATGAGGGTGGCACCAAGCCATTCATGAGGGATCTGCCTCCGTGACCCAAATACCTCTCATTAGGCACCACCTACCAGCACCTCCATGTTGGGGATAAAATTTCAAAATGAGGTTTGGTGGAGACAAACCAACCATATGCAAACCATAGAAGATGACTATTATAAAAGAGACAAAAGCGGTGGTGAGGATGTGTGAAAAAAGGGAACCCTTGCACACTGTTGGTGGAAATGTAGATTAGTATAGTCATTATGGAAAACAGTATGGAGTTTACTCAAAATAAAAAAAAAAAAAAAAAAAAAGAACTACCCTATGATCCAGCAATCCCACTACTGGGTATCTATCCAAAAGATAGGAAATCAATCTGTTGAAGAAATATCTGCACTCCTATGTTCATTGCAGCATTATTCACAATAGGCAAGATACGGAATCAATCCAAGTGTCTGTCTACAGATGAATGGATAAAGAAAATGTGCTATATATACACAATGGGATACTATTTAGCCTTAAAAAAGAATGAGATCCTGTCATTTGTAACAACATGAATGAACTAGGAGTGAACAGTATGTTAAGTGGAATAAGAAGCCAAGCACAGAAAGACAAATACTGCATGATCTCACTCATATGCAGAATATTAAAAGTTGAACTCATAGAGGTGGAGAGTAGAATGGTTGTTACCAGAGGCTGGGGGTTATGGGGATTGGGGAGATTTTTAAAAAAGGAAACTTCAGTCTTTCAAAGGGCATCTATAAAGGACCTACAGCTAATGTCATATCTAATGATAAAGGATCAAATGCTTTTCCTGTATGATAGAGAACTAGGCAAAGATGTTCAATCTCACCACTTCTTTTAGTATTTTACTGGAAATCCTAGCAGAACAAGAAAATAAATGAAAGGCATTCAGACCTGAAAGGAATAAATAAAACTAACTTTCTTTGTATATAACATGATTATCTGTATAGAAATTACCAACAAATTATTAAAAAGCTCCTAGAACTACTAAGTGATTTGAGCAGTATACAGGTTAACTTTTTAAAACATCACTTTTATTTCTATACAAAGACAATGAACAATTGGAAACCAGGATTTTTTTTTTTAAGTTCCATTTATAGTAGCTCCAAAAGGAGGGGGAAAAAAAAACTACCTAGGTATAAATCAAACAAAACATGTGCAGAATCTGTATGTTGAAAGTTACAAAATGCTGCTGAAGGAAATCCAAGACAACCAAAATAAACGAGGAAGTATACTGTGTTGATGGATTACAACACTCGATACAGTCAAATTGACCTATAAATTTAATGTGATCCCAGTCAAAATCTCAGCTAGATTCATTGTAGATATAGACAACCAGATTCTAAAATTTATATGGAAAGGTTAAACCAGAATAGCTAAAACTGTTTTGAAAAAGAAACAAAGTTGGAGGACTCACATTACCTAGTTTTAAGACACAATATAAATCTAAGGTAATTAATACAGTGTAGTATAGGTGAAAGAGTAGGTACATAGAGCCATGGAAGAGAGAGAGTCTAGAAATAGACATACAAGTATGGTAATAGATTTTTTTTTTAATTGTACTTTTTTAAGTTCTAGGGTACATGTGCACAACGTGCAGGTTTGTTACTTATGTATATGTATGCCATGTTGGTTTGCTGCACCCATTAACTCGTCATTTACGTTAGGTATTTCTCCTAATGCTATCCCTCCCCGCTCCCCTCACCCCACACCAGGCCCCGGTGTGTGATGTTCCCTGCCCCATGTCCAAGTGTTGTCATTGTTCATTTCCCACCTGTGAGTGAGAACATGCAGTGTTTGGTTTTCTGTTGTTGGGATAGTTTGCTCAGAATGATGGTTTCCAGCTTCATCCATATCCCTACAAAGGACATGAACTCATCTTTTTTTGTGGCTGCATAGTATTCCACGGTGTATATGTGCCACATTTTCTTAATCCAGTCTATCACTGATGGACACTTTGTTTGGTTCCAAGTCTTTGCTATTGTGAATAGTGCCGCGATTAACATATGTGTGCATGTGTCTTTATAATAGCATGATTTATAATGCTTTGGGTATATACCCAGTAATGGGATGGCTGGGTCAAATGGTATTTCTAGTTCTAGATCCTGGAGGAATTGCCACACTGTCTTCCACAATGGTTGAACTAGTTTACACTCCCACCAACAGTGTAAAAGCGTTCCTATTTCTCCACATCCTCTCCAGCACCTGTTGTTTCCTGACTTAATGATTGCCATTCTAACTGGTGTGAGATGGCATCTCATTGTGGTTTTGATTTGCATTTCTCTGATGGCCAGTGATGATGAGCATTTTTTCATGTGCCTGTTGGCTGCATAAATACCTTCTTTTGAGACCTGTCTGTTCATATCCTTTGCCCACTTTTTGATGGGGTTTTTTCTTGTAAATTTGTTTAAGTTCTTTGTAGATTCTGGTTATTACCCCTTTGTCAGATGGGTAGATTGGAAAAATTTTCTCCCATTCTTAAGGTTGCCTGTTCACTCTGATGGTAGTTTCTTTTGCTGTGCAGAAGCTCTTTAGTTTAATTAGATCCCATTTGTCAATTTTGGCTTTTGTTGCCATTGCTTTTGGTGTTTGAGCCATAAAGTCCTTGCCCATGCCTATGTCCTGAATGGTATTGCCTAGGTTTTCTTCTAGGGTTTTTATGGTTTTAGGTCTAACATTTAAGTCTTTAATCCATCTTGAATTAATTTTTGTATATGGTGTAAGGAAGGGATCCAGTTTCAGCTTTCTATATATGGCTAGCCAGTTTTCCCAGCACCATTTATTAAATAGGGAATCCTTTCCCCATTTCTTGTGTTTGTCAGGTTTGTCAAAGATCAGATGGTTGTAGATGTATGGTGTTATTTCTGAGGCCTCTGTTCTGTTCCATTGGTCTATCTCTCTGTTTTGGTACCAGTACCATGCTGTTTTGGTTACTGTAGCCTTGTAGTATAGTTTGAAGTCAGGTAGCGTGATGCCTCCAGCTTTCTTCCTTTTGCTTAGGATTGAATTGGCAATGGGGCTCTTTTTTGGTTCCATATGAATTTTAAAGTAATGTTTCCAATTCTGTGAAGAAAGTCACTGGTAGCTTGATGGGGATGGCATTGAATCTATAAATTACCTTGGGCAGTATGGCCATTTTTATGATATTGATTCTTCCTATCCACGAGCATGGAATGTTCTTCCATTTGTTTGCGTCCTCTTTTAATTCGTTGAGCAGTGGTTTGTAGTTCTCCTTGAAGAGGTCCTTCACATCCCTTGTAAATTGGATTCCTAGGTATTTTATTCTCTTTGTAGCAGTTGTGAATGGGAGTTCACTCATGATTTGGCTGGCTGTCTGTTACTGGTGTATAAGAATGCTTGTGATTTTTGCACATTGATTTTGTATCCCAAGACTTTGCTGAAGTTGCTTATCAGCTTAAGGAGATTTTGGACTGAGACAATGGGGTTTTCTAAATATATAATCATGTCATCTGTAAACAGGGACAGTTTGACTTCCTCTTTTCCTAATTGAATACCCTTTATTTCTTTCTCCTGCCTGATTGCCGTGGCCAGAACTTCCAACACTATGTTGAATAGGAGTGGTGAGAGAGGGCATCCCTGTCTTGTGCCAGTTTTCAAAGGGAATGCTTCCAGTTTTTGCCCATTCAGTATGATATTGGCTGTGGGTTTGTCATAAATAGCTCTTATTATTTAGAGATACGTTCCATCAATACCTAGTTTATTGAGAGTTTGTAGCATGAAGGGCTGTTGAATTTTGTCAAAGGCCTTTTCTGCATCTATTGAGATAATCCTGTGGTTTTTGTCTTTGGTTCTGTTTATGTGATGGATTACGTTTATTGATTTGCATATGTTGAACCAGCCTTGCATCCCAGGGATGAAGCCCACTTGATCTTGGTGGATAAGCTTTTTAATGTGCTGCTGGATTTGGTTTACCAGTGTTTTATTGAGGATTTTTGCATCCATGTTCATCAGGGTTACTGGTCTAAATTCTCTTTTTTTGTTGTGTCTCTGCCAGGCTTTGGTATCAGGATGATGCTGGCCTCATAAAATGAGTTAGGGAGGATTCTCTCTTTTTCTATTGATTGGAATAGTTTCAGAAGGAATGGTACCAGCTGCTCTTTGTACCTCTGGTAGAAGTCGGCTGTGAATCCGTCTGGTCCTGGACTTTTTTTGGTTGGTAGCCTGTTAATTATTGCCTCAATTTCAGAGCCTGTTATTGGTCTATTCAGGGATTCAACGTCTTCCTGGTTTAGCCTTGGGAGGGTGTATGCATCCAGGAATTTATCCATTTCTTCTAGATTTTCTAGTTTATTTGCATAGAGGTGTTTATAGTATTCTCTGATGCTAGTTTGTATTTCTGTGGGATCGGTGGTGATATCCCCTTTATCATTTTTTTATTGCATCTATTTGATTCTTCTCTCTTTTCTTCTTTATTAGTCTTGCTAGCAGTCTATCAATTTTGTTGATCTTTTCAAAAAACCAGCTCCTGGATTCATTGATTTTTTTGAAGGGGTTTTTGTGTCTCTATCTCCTCCATTTCTGCTCTGATCTTAGTTATTTCTTGCCTTCTGCTAGCTTTTGAATTAGTTTGCTCTTGCTTCTCTAGTTATTTTAATTGTGATGGTAGGGTATAAATTTTAGATCTTTCCTGCTTTCTTTTATGGGCATTTAGTGCTATAAATTTCCCTCTACGGACTGCTTTAAATGTTTCCCAGAGACCCTGGTACACTGTCTTTGTTCTCATTGGCTTCAAAGAACATCTTTATTTCTGCCTTCATTTTGTGATTTACCCAGTAGTCATTCAGGAGCAGGTTGTTAAGTTTCCATTTAGTTGTGTGGTTTTGAGTGAATTTCTTAATCCTGAGTTCTAATTTAATTGCACTGTGGTCTGAGAGACAGTTTGCTGTGATTTCTGTTCTTTTATATTTGCTGAGGAGTGCTTTACTTCCAACTATGTGGTCAGTTTTGGAATAAGTGTGATGTGGTGCTGAGAAGAATGTATATTCTGTTGATTTGGGGTGGAGAGTTCTGTAGATGTCTATTAGGTCAGCTTGGTGTGGAGCTGAGTTCAAGTGCTGGATATCCATGTTAACCTTGTATCTCATTGATCTGTCTAATATTGACAGTGGGGTGTTAAAGCCTCCCATTATTATTGTGTGGGAGTCTAAGTCTCTTTGTAGGTCTCTAAGGACTTGCTTTATGAATCTGGATGCTCCCGTATTGGGTGCATATGTATTTAGGATAGTTAGCTCTTCTTGTTGATTTGATCCCTTTACCATTATGTAATGGCCTTCTTTGTCTCTTTTGATCTTTGTTGGTTTAAAGTCTGTTTTGTCAGAGATTAGGATTGCAACCCCTGCTTTTTTTTTGCTTTCCATTTTCTTGGTAGATCTTCCTCCATCCCTTTATTTTGAGCCTATGTGTGTCTCTGCACGTGAGATGGGTCTCCTGAATACAGCACACTGTTGGGTCTTGACTCTTTATCCAATTTGCCAGTCTGTGTCTTTTAATTGGGGCATTTAGCCCATTTACGTTTAAGGTTAATATTGTTAGGTGTGAATTTGATCCTGTCATTATGATGTTAGCTGGTTATTTTGCTCATTAGTTGATGCAGTTTCTTCCTAGCATCAATGGTCTTTACACTTTGGCATGTTTTTGCAGTGGCTGGTACTGGTTGTTCCTTTCCATGTTTAGTACTTCCTTCAGGAGCTCTTGTAAGGCAGGCCTGGTGGTGACAAAATCTCTCAGCATTTGCTTGTCTGTAAAGGATTTTATTTCTCCTTCACTTATGAAGCTTAGTTTGGCTGGATATGAAATTCTGTGTTGAAAATTGTTTTCTTTGAGAATGTTGAATATTGGCCCCTACTCTCTTCTGGCTTGCAGAGTTTCTGCCGAGATATCCGCTGTTAGTCTGATGGGCTTCCCTTTGTGGGTAACCTGACCTTTCTCTCTGGCTGCCCTTAACATTTTTTCCTTCAACTTTGGTGAATCTGACAATTATGTGTCTTGGGGTTGCTCTTGTCGAGGAGTATCTTTGTGGTGTTCTCTGTATTTCCTGAATTTGAATGTTGGCCTGCCTTGCTAGGTTTGGGAAGTTCTCCTGGATAATATCCTGAAGAGTGTTTTCCAGCCTGGTTCCATTCTCCCCATCACTTTCAGGTACACCAGTCAAATGTAGATTTGGTCTTTTCACGTAGTCTCATATTTCTTGGAGGCTTTGTTTGTCTCTTTTTACTCTTTTTTCTCTAACCTTCACACTTTATTTCATTCATTTGATCTTCAATCACTGATACCCTTTCTTCCACTGGATCGAATCGGCTACTGTAGCTTGTGCATGTGTCACATAGTTCTCGTGCCATGGTTTTCAGCTCCATCCGGTCATTTAAAGTCTTCTCTACACTGTTTATTCTAGTTAGCCTTTCATCTTTTTTCAAGGTTTTCGGCTTCCTTGTGATGGGTTCGAACATCCTCCTTTAACTTGGAGAAGTTTGTTATTACCGACCTTCTGAAGCCTACTTCTGTCAACTTTCCTGCTTTGTTCCATTGCTGGCGAGGAGCTGTGATCCTTTGGAGGAGAAGAGGTGCTTTGGTTTTCAGAATTTTCAGCTTTTCTGCTCTGGTTTCTCCCCATCTTTGTGGTTTTATCTACTTTTGGCCTTTGATGATGGTGACCTACAGATGGGGTTTTTGTGTGAATGTCCTTTTTGTTGATGTTGGTGCTATTCCTTTCTGTTTGTTAGTTTTCCTACTAACAGTCAGGTCCCTCACCTGCAAGTCTGTTGGAGTTTGCTGGAGGTCCACTCCAGACCCTGTTTGCCTGGGTATCACAACAGCAAATATTGCAGGAGGGCAATTATTGCTGCCTAATCCTTTCTCTGGAAGCTTCGTCTCAGAGGGGCACCCAGCTGTATGAGGTGTCAGTCGGCTCCTACTGGGAGGTGTCTCCCAGTTAGGCTACACGGGGGTCAGGGACCCACTTGAGGAGGCAGTCTGCCTGTTCACAGAGCTCAAACATGCTGGGAGAACCACTGCTCTCTTCAGAGCTGTCAGACAAGGACGTTTAAGTCTGCAGAAGTTTCTGCTGCCTTTTATTCAGCTATGCCCTGCCCCCAGAGGTGGTGTCTACAGAGGCCAGCAGGCCTTGTTGAGCTGCGGTGGGCTCCACCCAGTTCGAGATTCCTGGCCGCTTTGTTTACCTAGTCAAGCCTCAGCAATGGCAGGCACCCCTCCTCCAGCCAGGCTGCCACCTCGCAGTTCCATCTCGGACTGCTGCGCTAGCTAGCAGTGAGCAAGGCTCTGTGGGCGTGGGAGCCACTGAGCCAGGTGTGGGATATAATCTCCTGGTGTGCCGTTTGCTAAGATCATTGGAAAAGCGCAGTATTTGGGTGGGAATGTCCTGTTTTTTCCGGTACAGTCTGTCATGGCTTCCCTTGGCTAGGAAAGGTAAATCCCCCAATCCCTTGTGCTTCCTGGGTGAGGCAATGCCCCACCCTGCTTCGGCTCGCCCTCCATGGGCTGCATCCACTGTCCAACCAGTCCCAGTGAGATGAACCAGGTACCTCAGTTTGAAATGCAGAAATCACCCGTCTTCTGCGTTGATCACACTGGGAGCTGCAGATTGGAGCTCTTCCTATTCGGCCATCTTGGAAGGGTAATCCCAGTAATAGATTTTTTTAAAGGTGCTAAGGCAATTCAGTGGAGAAAGAATAGTCTTTTCAAGAGATGGTGCTAGACTAACTGAATGTCCTCATACCAAAAAAGAATTTCCTTCTATGAAAAATTAACTTAGAATTTATCATGTACCTATATGTAAGATAAAACTAGAAAACTCTTAGAAGCGAACATAGGAGAAACTCTTTATGACCTGGGGTTTCACAGAGAGTTCTTAGAGTATCAAAAGCACTATCCATAAAAGGAAATCATTTATAAATTGGTCTTCATCAAATTAAAAACTTTTGTTCTGTGAAAGATACTGATAGAATGTAAAGAAGATATAGGGATGGCAGATAAACACATGTGAAGGGTGCTCAACATCATTAGTATATATTTTTTAGAATGCCTAAATTAAAATACTGATAATACAAGGTATTCATGAGGATGTGGAACAACTGGAAGTTTCATACATTGCTGGTGGATTACAACATGATACAGTCACTCTAGAAAACAGTTTGGCAGTTTCTTCAAAAGTAAGACATATACCTACCATATAACCTGGCATTTATTCTAGACAAAGTTCACAAAAACTTGTGCACAAATGTTTGTAGCAGTATTGTTCATAATCACCAAAATCTGGAAAGAACTTGAATGTCCTTGAATGGATAAACTAATTGTGTATCTACTCAATGGGAAATACTGTTCAGCAATGGATACAGGAACAGATCTTTTTATACATACAAAAATGGCTGAATCCCAAATGCAATAATGCCAAGTGAAAAAAAAAAGCCATTCTTATAATTACATGTTGTATGATTTTCTAGAAATGACAACATAGAAGGTCAACAGTTGCCAGGGGTTATGGGAAATGGAAGAGTCTGACTTAAAAAGGGTGTTGGAATTGTTCTGTACCTGATTTGAGAAGCTGGTAGCAAAATGCTATGCACATGTTAAAACTCATAAAACTTAAGCCTAAAAAAGTGAATTCTGCTGTATGTAAATTTTAAGAAATAAAAATACGTATTACCTTGTATTCATTTGTCAAAGTTTGTTCATACACTTAACATTTGTGCATTTCACTATGTCAAAATTTTGTGTCACCTAAAAATAAAGAATTGTAAATAAACAAAAAAGTAACTGGAGGATGGGAAACACTTAGGTGTTCTAATTAGAACAATTTTGCCCTAAAGCGTGATATATATAATTTTATTTATTATGGCAAGGGCCCATTTATTTTCCTGTTTAGGAGATTACCACGTAGTCTATTTTCTTGACAATTTAGTGTTGATTCACTGAATGTTACTTCTTAATAATGATGGATAGTTTCTGGCCACAAGCTAGATAAGAGCTCTTTTATAATCTATTTTTCTACTGCATCAGTTCAGATTCATCCTATCTCTCGTCTTTTCCTTTTGCACACATTCTTTCATCTGTTGACAGTGGAAAAAAATCAGCTTGGAAAAATGTGTTTTGAGTGTTTTCATGAATTTCTCACATTTAAGATTTAATCATAAATTATTTCTTGACTAGCAGAAGCAGTTCATACTGTATTAGTTGTGATAATCTTTGGCCCTCATAAAACAAACTAGCAGAGGCTTTATCTTAAACATTATAGACCCCATTTGCAATGCTATGGATTGAATGGATATATTTTAGCACTTGCTGTGGGTGACAGTAGATGATGTCAGATTAAATTTAAATTGATCTCCTCTCAATGTTTATCTCTGGTGCATGTGCAATTACTTCAGCACCAGAGAACCTTTCAGAGGCATTCTGTCAATACAGCTACCTGACAGTCATTTGTATTTGTAAACTGTGCATTTGGCACCTGCTGGTCTCTGTTGCATTGGAGCTAGTGGGGAGCCAAAATGGGTATACAATGAAGTTATTGGTTGGTACATCTCAGTGGGAGTTATTGAAGGGAAGAAACAGCACTTCCGGGACCTCAAGAGAGGATAAAAAGTAAAAGAAACTGGTAATATTAACTACAAGCCAGCTATTGTTTGCTACCAAAAAAATAATGATTTTAAAAGTCAATCAATTCTACCCAAGGAATTAAAGTGTATATGGACCTGCATTTTAATTCTTGTAACAGAATGAAAAAGTGTTTCTATTTAAAATATATAATTAATTTTTTAAAGCACCAAGATCTCAGAAGGCAGACAATTCGTATGAGCAGAGATATAAATTCAGACAAGCAATGAAAAAAATGCTTAATTTGTGAAGAAATGTAAATTAAAATGCAGGTATCTTTTACTTATCAAATTAGCAAAACCAATTTTAATTTAAAAAAGACATGCTTGGCAAGACTTTAAAGAACAAACAGGTAGACAGATAGTAAAAACCAACTGATGTTTTATAGGTATAATTTGCTCACACTTGGTCAAAAGCTCTTATTTGTTAACCCAGTAATCCTACTTTATTGTATATAACTCAAGGAAATATTACAAAGAAGAAAGCCTGGTACATAAATTTGTTTAGCTCAGTATGGTGGTGTCTGCTACAGTGCATTGTTTCTGTGCTGCAGATTTGCTCATACATGATTGGTAATTAAGAGAATAGTGTCCATAGAAAGTGAAGTTGTGTCAGTTTATATATCATTATCCTCAGAATATCCTGAAGCCATCAGAATAAGCTTTTTCGTAAAGAGAATGCCGCAAGGGTGTATGAAGATCTCCAAAACAAAACAACTGAAAATCCTGGGGAAGTCCCCTTGTTAGTGTAAATAAAAGCTAGTTTAATGATCTTGAGAAGTGCTTTGCTTTTCACAATATTAAGCTATCCAATGAAGTTGCATGTGTGGTTTGAAGACATTATGAAGACATTTGCCTCTATGTTTAGGAAAAAAAACATGAAAATGCTATGCCCTGGTTCAGGTTAATTTGATGAAATTGGTTTCACTGTCTAGTGAAGGCCCTTAAGGACCCGAACCTCAAAAGTAGGCTCACAAGCTTTACGTTAAGGCTGCAGAGGATCACCTGGTTGACACTAGGTTTAAATGGTGGTGGACATTGGATGGTGCTAATATTTTTGTTATAGGTTCGCAGTAGTGCTTTGGTTACAAAGCTGCATAGTTTTCAGTGGTTAGCCCCTAACTATTTTTCCCTTGAGCCCTGTTATTTTTAGTGTGATGTTGCAGAACAAAGTTTTTTTTTAGTTACATATATGTAATTTAGGAAAATATATAAAGTGCCCATTAATAAAAAATGGTTAATTTGGGGTACAGCATCTTGATAGACTATAATGTGCCTTAATGATAAGCATGGAAATTTTTCTATGAAACAAGTACAGGAATTAGAATACAAAACTGAGTATCTGGATACTATGCTTACAACTGTGTAAAAATGTTTCACACATACCTGGCCTGCAATAGTTGTGGTAGGATGGTGGGACTATAGGTTAGCAAAAGTTTTTTTAATACTGTGAAGTTGGTAAAATAGAGATAAGTCCATTTTAACAGTTTACATTTTATTTGACTCTGGTTTTAGAATTCCTGGAAAACTCAAGCAATTCGTATTTGACTTACATTCTGGAAAACTGCACAGAGAATTCCATCATGGACCTGACCCAACTGATACAGCCCCAGGAGAGGTAGGACTCCTGTTTATTTTTCAATGAGAACTCTTTTTTTCCCTTTTTCAGTTAGCCTCAAAGAGGGTCTGAAGTTCTTGCATCAGCTTGAGCTTCAGCTTCTGAATATTTGTGTAGAGAAATTCTGAGTAGAAATTAACCTTTTAAATTAATTTTTAAAGCTTTAGGTCTTCAGAAAAGTTGAAAGAATATTATAACGTAGTTTCTTGATTGTATAAAAGTGTTCTGATGTGACCTCTGTGGAATATGGCTATAACAGTTAAATATAGTTGGCTTCAAATGGGAATAGGAAATAGGAATCTAAAGCAGATAAATCAGTGAAGAAATCAGTGGATTCCAATAACTATCCAAGCCTTCCTCTGTGGCTGGAAGATTGACCACACTATAAAGAAAGTAATGATTTGTTATTCTTGCTAAATCATTCTAAGAGCCTTCACAAATACACTATTCATAATGCTCAAAACCTTACAGTTTAATGCAGCTTTCCCATTTGTGATTTAGAATACTTGACAACTATTTTATCAAAATTTTATGTTCTTTTATGTTTTTTTTTACCTGAGAATTTTACTGTTTCCACCTTGTAACTTCTGTTACAAGTAATTTCTATGTTCCTACTGTACTAAACAGCCCTAAGTTTGCATTTTGATAGATTATGATTTCTATCATGCCTATTACCATGATACCGAGAGGGAAGATATGTACCAAAACCCTCTATTTCATATGCTCAGAACTTAAATCCATTATTTTGCCTATAAAACCTCTATTTATAAAAGGAAAATAAAAACTGAGTTTTTCTTTACCTTATTTAAGAGTGAGATTAGGTTCAGAGGCAAGAATTCCCTATAGGAATCCAACAACATGCTTTTTCCTTTAAAAATTAGGTCAGATTTTTGATAATTAACAACTATAGGAGGCAAACTTGTTGGCTATAACCCAAAGGTGATTATTTTCCTCAGAAAAGAAGGCCTGCATAGTATTTTATCAGATTAGGAAAAGATGTCATTTACCGTTATTGTATTATCCTGATTTGTTTCAATTTCCTCATTAGACAGTGAACTTACATTTGTTCATCTTTGTGTACTA
The DNA here is from genome assembly GCF_000001405.40 of Homo sapiens. NCBI lineage: Eukaryota > Metazoa > Chordata > Mammalia > Primates > Hominidae > Homo > Homo sapiens. The sequence goes on along the minus strand of NC_000009.12, from coordinate 99,983,883 downwards.
ACAGAGGGCACCAAATAAATGTTTGTTTTATAGTAATATAATTAATTTCAGCTTATTTCAGCTTAATCCAAACATATATCTCACTGAAAAAATTAAAAATGTATTGGGAAAGAGGAACATGATAAAGTCAAATGATAAGTTTGTAGACACATTGCTTCCTGTTAGAATTAATGTGCCATTACATATAGTATGTAATATATGCACTGTGTGCCTATGTCAACTACAGGGGATATTAAAATGAGGAGAACAATCAGGCCTGCTCTTGAGGTCACAATTTGGAAATAGAGGATAGACTGCACTGCCTTTTCTTTTTTTTTTTTTTTTTTTTTTTTGAGACGGAGTCTCGCTCTGTCGCCCAGGTCGGACTGCGGACTGCAGTGGCGCAATCTCGGCTCACTGCAAGCTCCGCTTCCCGGGTTCACGCCATTCTCCTGCCTCAGCCTCCCGAGTAGCTGGGACTACAGGCGCCCGCCACCGCGCCCGGCTAATTTTTTGTATTTTTAGTAGAGACGGGGTTTCACCTTGTTAGCCAGGATGGTCTCGATCTCCTGACCTCATGATCCACCCGCCTCGGCCTCCCAAAGTGCTGGGATTATGCCTTTTCTTTAAAATTCTTGGAAATAGCTCGTTTCACTGTGTATTTTTGTCTGCTCTTGGTACACAAGTAAAATACTACAGAAATTAATTTCTTTCAGCATTGAAGTGTTTGCTTTCCTCTTTATTTCAACTAAGTTGTAATAATTTCTGGTATCCTGGTAATTGATAACTAAGATAATATCTACAGAGTGGATGCCATTAATTCTCTTAGCAGTCACGTGCAGAAGGGAAGGGTTTGGGCCAACCTAGGGTTGTGCTGTCTCTGTCGACTAGTCTAGGAAAGCACCCAGGTGTCAGGTATTTTGGTCCCTTCCACCACACCTCAGCAAATGTAAAACAAGCCCACAGTTAATGGCCCTGTGGCAACCCTGCCCTGGAGAATCTCAATAAGAGCATTTGAAATGAGGAAAGCAAGATTTCACATTTAAATATCTTGCTTTGGCACACAGTTGCTTTTATTGATTAATAAGCAAATAATTATAGGGGAACTACTATTCATCGAATACACTTATTAAAATATTATAGCACCATAAACTATATTGGTATAAAAATGTTTTATTCTTTCTTTTGTAGCAAGCCCAAGATGTAGCAAGCAGTCCACCTGAGAGCTCCTTCCAGAAACTAGCACCCAGTGAATATAGGTATACTCTATTGAGGGATCGAGATGAGCTTTAAAAACTTGAAAAACAGTTTGTAAGCCTTTCAACAGCAGCATCAACCTACGTGGTGGAAATAGTAAACCTATATTTTCATAATTCTATGTGTATTTTTATTTTGAATAAACAGAAAGAAATTTTGGGTTTTTAATTTTTTTCTCCCCGACTCAAAATGCATTGTCATTTAATATAGTAGCCTCTTAAAAAAAAAAAACCTGCTAGGATTTAAAAATAAAAATCAGAGGCCTATCTCCACTTTAAATCTGTCCTGTAAAAGTTTTATAAATCAAATGAAAGGTGACATTGCCAGAAACTTACCATTAACTTGCACTACTAGGGTAGGGAGGACTTAGGGATGTTTCCTGTGTCGTATGTGCTTTTCTTTCTTTCATATGATCAATTCTGTTGGTATTTTCAGTATCTCATTTCTCAAAGCTAAAGAGATATACATTCTGGATACTTGGGAGGGGAATAAATTAAAGTTTTCACACTGTGTACTGTGTTTTACTGATTGGTTGGATATTGCTTATGAAAATTCCATAGTGGTATTTTTTTGGATTCTTAATGTGTAACTTAAACATACTTTGAAGTGGAGGAGAGTCATAAGACAGAACATTTGGCAGGAATTGTCCTTATGAAACAAGAAAAAGAAAATGAAAAGTATTATTAAGCTTCTGTGTTTGTCTAAAAATGTGGCATATGGATGGCATTTAAAACTTTGAATGAATTATACCTAAATCTGGGACAGGGAGGTGACAGTGGAACAGGCTACCAATCAGAACTAGATGACTTTTAAGGCTCCTCCTATTATGAGACTTCAATTTCCAAAGAGAAGAACTAGCAGAGAAATTGTATTTCAGTAATTTTAAGCTCCTTCTGTCTTGTAGAGTCTTGTTATAGTTGTATAAATCAAAAACACAGAATAAGGAACATATTTAACTTTTTTTCATTATAAAATGGTTAGAGGACCCTACCCCCTCTAGATTCCCTGATTTCCCCAGGCCTGCAGCATACAGTAAGATGGGTCCCTGTGCCAGGCCTCAATACTGCCAGGGAATAAAACCAGAGGGAGAGGACCCTCAGTGTCATATCAGGAAGCCCAGTGCCAGAGGACAGACAGGTTCAAAACTGGCTTTTCCTCTGGGCCTGGGTTGGTGCTATAGGCCAAGGGTCATTTTATACTTGGGTATAAATCAATCCCAGTTTGGGAAAAGATTATTTTTAAGCTTAAAAGGCTGACATGTGCCATTATATGTAGTATGTAATATATGTAACATCTTCCAATTCTTTTAAAATAAAATTAATATTTATAATGGATATTTAATGATTGTTATTTTTAAAAACCAGCTTATAATTCCTCGTTATGCATGATTTATCCAAAGTTTCCATAGTTTTATTCAAAATAATAAATGTTAATAAGGTGATAAGGGGTATATTTAATGTATTGTATCAAATTGTGAATAAGAAAGTAGGATGGAGCTTTCTAGAGGTTGGGCCTTAGTTCTGTTATCCTCATTGCTTTTAACCAATAAGTTAAATGAAGTTAGAGTTATGGTCTTCAGGTTAGATTATGGACCAGATCTGTGAGGGTCAGCATGGAAATTCACATTCAACAAGGTAGCACACAGGACCAAGAGCAGCACATGCAATCAACTGGAATAATATAGTAATCCTGTAACTGGGTTTGAAAAAATAATCAACAAAAGATACAATTCAAGGGTTAGGTTGCAGAGAGCTGGCTTGAGAGTAGTTATTATGAAAAAGGCCTCAAGGAGTACGTGTTCAGTATGCTCTAAGATGATAAAGTGGCTGTTAAAAAGGGAGTTGATTTGAGGAAGTATTACTTAGCATTCATGCATATTGGGCTTAGGCTCTAGCCCTGCCACTATCATTGTCTTCTCTGGACTGTGAAGTCACTGAGGACAAGGAAACTAAATTTAATGTCTGTATCACTAGTGCCTAGAATTTCTGGACACTTAGTAGTCACCATCAGGCGTTTATTTAATGAATGAGAAGCAAAGTGACCTTGGTTACTTTTTTACCCTGAGGGGCTCAGCACTCATTAGGACTTGGTGCCTAATTTTATAAAAAGTCACTAAGCTCAAGTGCTTGGATGAAAGGACAGCGTGGATAAAAAGGTTTTTAAAACATGGATGTTAAGGCTGTTTTGCTTGGAGAAGACTTGGGACTGGGACAGTCTTTAGATATTATTTGAAATGCTGGCACTGTCTATCTGGATCCCAGGGCTTGAACTAGGATTTGAGGAAGTCACAGGGAAGCAGATTTCAGTCTGACATTTATTCAGTGCAAGTTTTTTGGTGCTGTAGTATATGATGAAAGATGTAAAGCTGAATAAAGCATTATTTCTGCCCTAGAGTTGTTCACAGCCTAGTCAGGCATATGGATATGTAAACAATGACTGTAACGTGTTATAGATGTAAAGACAAAATAAAGGTTAAAGAGGGCATAAAGGAGCACTCAATTGCAGAGATTTGAGGACATTATTTTTATTTTGAGCTTTAAAAAGATGAATAGGTGTTCTCAGGAGGTAGGGATCTGGCTGAGAGGGAATAATCTGAGCAAAGGTATGAAACAGCCTAATGCATTAGAGAAAAAAGTTCTTTTAGTAAGGCATTTGGGGTTGGGGAAGCTAGAAAAAGAAATGGGAGCTGGTCACACAGGGCCTTGTGTGCCAGACTAAGGGGTTTGTAGTATATATTGTAGGCAGAAGAGATCCATCAACAGATTGCAAGCAAGGAAGTATGTTCACTTTAAAGTTTGAGAAAGAATAGTGTGGAAGCACGTCTCAAATTTAGACTTGTTCCCCCTCTGAACCGTGAATCAGACCATTTCAGGTAGAAGTCTTCCCCGGTTTATCTGATCTACTCGGGGCCTCAGGCTTCTCAGCTGGGAAGAGAGGATGCAAGACCAGACTGAAGAACACGGTTGAGTCCCCAGAACCAAAAGGGGGCCTTTCTGCTTCTTAGCCAGCTACCTCTTCGAGTTTTTCAAATTGTGAGGGGGACCATAAAAGGATGGAAACTTTTAGATGACATTCTACAAATTATTTTTTTCTTTAAATTAAAAGAACCTAGCCAATAAGATAGAGAATGGGCATCTAAGGCATCTCAGAGCTCTCTGATGAAGCCAGGTTGTCAAAGATCATTTGCAAAAGAAGGGAAAACTGGCATGACAAAAGCTACAGAGAGGAGAGTGAAATATAGAAGTGTTTGAAATGTTCAAGCTCACAATAAGCTTAAATTTATAGAAAATGCTAAGGTTGTCAAGAAGGCTTTTTTTTTTTTCTTTTTTAAACCTGAGGGCAAAAAGGAATGGATAAAGTAGTGTAATGGATTGACAATCAGGAAGAACAGAATAACTCAGTTTTTTTTCTCCTACAAGGAGATATGGCTGGACCAAAATAAAATGACATGAAACTGCAAAAATGAAAAGTAAAAAAAAAAAAATTGTTGTCACCTTAAATGATTTCAAGGTTGTTAGACCCACACTTCTGTATCCTAGAGAGCTGCTGGAGGTTGCAAATGCTTTCTATTAACAACTGTTGGGAATTTTTGAGAAACCATGGAGAATGTAAGGTGACAGAAGACTGGAAATGAGCAAACGTACTGCAGTTTTCAAATCATTAGCTAATAGCTTTAGCTATTTTTCTAAAATAAAACCTCATGAACCAAACAAATGTTAGTACTCTGTATTTGGGGGAAAGATTTAAATAGCTGTAAAGAACAAAACAGTTATCTGTTTTTAAACCCATTATTTGAAGACCCTGAAGACAGTAAGTTGTTTCAGGACTCAAGTTTTATGCTGATAATAACTTTATGTTCATTAAACCAGGTTGGATAGGACCTCTGCTTAGCAACTGTTTTTTAGCTGTGTTTGAATTTTTGTATGTATTTCCAAGTAATAAAATTATATTTATAAAATATTTCTATATTGGAGACTTTTTACTAATTCACTTTGTTATAAATAACATCATATTGTAAACCCTTTACTCAGAATCTAGATGACCACAGTTGCTAGATTTTTCAGATTTAAAGTTATTTCCCAGGTAATTTAATTGTACTGATCAGAATGGGAAGCTATATGAATCCATGTGATCACTCAAACCCAGCCTTTCATTGAAGCAAGCATCCAAGTTCCCTCTTGAAGAACACACTGGGGAAAGGCTGGCCTGCCCTTAAACAATAGGTTTTGGAGTCACCAGAAGAGGAACAGTGCAGCTTACAAATTGCTTCTCTAAAAGACCCCTTCCCCCAACCCTGCTTAGTAAATTCCTCCTATTCATCCTTAGTGCCTAATAACACTTGTCACTCCCTGTGATCCCACAGTCCTTTATGGATTTTAGAGTACCCAGTCTAATTCAGAGTTAGAAGTGTACGTATCTCTCTTCCTTATCACTGTGTGAATGCCCTGAAAGCACGAACTCCTCTATCTTTGTAATCCCAGCACTTGGTGACACTGAAAGTACTCAGGAAATCTCTGATGGAAAAAAAAAAAAAGGCCAAATTAAATAATAAGTATGTGAGCAAATGAATAAAGAACAAGAAAGCATCGCCGTAAGTGGAATGAGCTCTACTGGTTAATCTGCAAATCTCAATTATCTGATGATTCTGTCCATCACAAATCGTGTTTAGGTGAATCTAGTCACCTTTAATCCTGTATCTGAATCCGGCTTTGGGGTCCTAAGAGTTTTTGTCTAGAATAGATTAAAATCTTACAGTGCGCACCAACCCAGAGATACATAACTATCAGAATGACATCTGAATACCCTCTTGGGTAATGCAGAGTCCTGCAGAGGTGCTGGAAAATTTCTGAACTCCACATTTGCTGTGAGGTAAACCTGACCCCTAGCTTGGCCTCACGGAGCAACAGACTTGAGTTGACAAAATATCCCTGTTGTGGTTTTCAAAACACCATTCATCTGCCATTCAGCAAGCATTATCTACTGTTTCCAGGCTACAGATCTAACAGTAAGGAGACTGTACCTACCATCAAGGAGCTGAAAGTTGAGTGAAGGAGCAAAATAGATGTGTAAATAATGGAATGTTGTAGGTGCTAGGATGTGAGTTAGTCGCAGAGAACATGGAGGTAGGTGTGTACAGCCTTGGGAATTGGGAGTCTTCCTAGAGGAAGTGCTTTCTTGCTCAGAATAGAAAGAGCTATACTTTCCTAAGCACATCAGGCTCTTCTCCAGGAGAATTGTTATTAATAAAGACTGTCATTATTCTATTATCTTACTGTAATAAAAGTATTGTTAGGTATTGCTGACCTGTTTTTTTCTCACAGTTCTAGTCCTCTCAGGTAATAACAACATGTCCCATGTGTTTTACTTATTGCCATGGCTACCAGGGAAGAAACCACATGCCTACTGTCCTGGTGCCCTGTATAAACTTGCCTACATAGGATTAGATCAATATTAGAATCCTGATGCCTTGTTTTCTTGCCCTAGCTACTGCCTAGGAAGGGGAATAGAACATGGCATTCCTGGCTATGCACACAGCAAGGATTATAGAACAGGTCATCAATTCTGAGTGATCAATTCTGACTTCAGAATGAGCACGGCTTTCTGATTTAAAACACTAAGTGTCCATTTCAGAAATTTTCCAGGATTCAAAGGTAAATTTCCTGGTCTGTGGCTTCTGGAATCCAGCTTTTACGCCTTAAATTTAGCCTTTTGCCCAAGCTCAGTGTTCTGGAACATTTTCTATTGTCTTGTTTTTCACAATTACTGGTAGTAATTTAACTTGCATGTATACGTTCCCACTAACGTTGGGATTTTGTTTTTTATCTGAGCCTAGAAATGATCAATTCTTTTAAAATATAGATGCTCTTTTTTTTAATAATGCCACACTTATTTTCATTGCCCTTATTACTAAGGTGACCATGTAATTGTATTCATCCAAATCAGGACATTGAGATGAAAAGGGAGCATTAGTAATTTCACCAGGACAACAGATGTAAATCAGGACTGTCCCAGACAAACTGGGATGTATGATCACCCTGCTCCTAACCAGATCTTACATATTTTCATGTTTGGATATCATTCTTAATAAAGATGAAAAAGATGCACTTTCTACCAGGCATCTGTCATCTTTGAACCGTCTTAATAAAGCCTTTTGAAAAAATCATTTTAAGGATTCTTAGTGTATTTCTCAAGTCTCCACTCATTTTAGGTGTCTCCCTAACACTATTCTTGTAGGTACATGATACCTTTTTTAAATTAATGTGCATTTCCTTTAAACTTTGGGAAAAAATAGTAACAATTCTAACAGTAACAGCAACTAACATTTGCACAGTTAGCAGAAGCCAGGCACTATTCTAGGCACTGAATATGAATTTAGTCTTTTAATCCTCATAACCACCCTGTGAGATAGATAGCAAGGTGTCAAGGTAGGAAGAAGAGTTAAGGACATCCTGAATTGTTGACCCCCAGTGTACCCTGATAAGTGGCAGCAACCTGTTATGAACATTAAAGCCTATAGAGGAAAGAAAGGGAACTATGGAGAACTATTAATGCCACTTGATTCCTTTTCATTCCTATAAGCTAATTGAGTGTCTGTTTGTTGGAATAAGTATATGAACCTTAGCATTAGAGACCCGGGTTCAAATCCTGTCAAATGCTTACCTCTTCAGCCCCACCCTTGCCCAATGCCAATACCTGCTTGCTTGACATGGCCATTAAATTCCTGCTGCTGCATCCTGTTTCAATACTAGTCTGTCAGACTATCAATACTTCTTGGATTCCTGCTATTCTGACCTAGTAATCCTAAGGTAGGACAGAAGATAAGTCAGTCCAAATTTTCCCACAGCATTTCCTCAGTGATTCAGGTCCTATATCCTCTCTCTTCCAAGTCATGACTTTTAATTGGAAAAAGAGATAGAAATATCTTCACCTGCAAATTCTGAAAATTTAAATTCATGATTTCCAAGTCCTGGAGTTGTTGTCTGGATTTCTTCTGTTGCATCATTCATTCCTGTTAATATACAAAAGTGGGTACTAAGTAAGGATTTGATATGTCTTAGAAAGCTATTTCATATTTCAATGCATGTCCCCAAAAGAGAGCAGAACTCACATGCTATTACCTCATCACTCGTCATCTAACAATCACTAACAGGAATGTAGTTTCTTTTTTCCTTCTCATCACTGTATTTTATTGCAAGAAGTACTCAAAGAAGATGATGTGATCCCTGTCCTGAAAGCAGATTACAGTCTAGTTGAGGAGATCACACCACCACCAGTGAAAGAATTTTACCCCTCTGAAGTTCGAGAACATTGCAGAATTAACCATAAGTGAAAACTGGAGCCATGAATTGCAGTGGTTAAGAAATGTTCATGTAGAGATGGAAAACGATTGTGAAGCACTTGGACACTAATAAGTAAATTTCATGACTGTTTTCTCAGTGGGTTTTCAATAAATATGGAATGACTATTAGAACAGGAACAAAGAGGGCATTCAGTGTTAAGCAGATGATCTCTTAAGCAGAGAGGGAAGAAAGCACAACCTGTGGGAAAGGAAGGCAAATATGCCAAATATACCAAGAACTCCACCAAATGTGAGGTTTAATACTAACTTCCCTGGCAAGAAGGCAAAATGAGGAACTCAGAGGAGTAATAGTCTTATCTGACACAAAGCAATACATCAATTCCTATAAACAAAGAAGTATTAAATTTTAAATAGATCACATCCTAGTCTGTATTTCCATCCAACCATCTTCATCACTCAGGTGCGTTTTGTTTCTTAGTTTTCTGTGAGCCCACCATGTTGTGTTTTGAGCCCTTTGTCCATAACTCCATCTTCAATCAGGCATATTCTTCTTTAGGTACGGCTCAAACACCACATGTTCCACAAAGCCTGCCCCTTCTTTTCCAAGCAGAATTTGGTCCCTCCACTCTGTGTGCCCTCGTATTACTTTGTTCATTCCTCTCTTAGGGCAGTTACCAGGTTTTACTGTGATTTACTTGCTTTAGGTATCTGAATTCATTAGCCTGAATGGTTTACAGGGGTAGATTCTATAGGTCTAGTATTTTTCTATGTATGGCCCCAGCACTTAACACACCACAGGCCTTCAGTTAAATGTTGGTTAAATAAGTAAATTTATTGCATGTTTCCTTATTCAAGCACCACTCAGCAATGTAATAAATGACAAATGAATTCAGTAAGCTTTACAGAGTTTGCAGAAATTCTTGCCATTGGGCCTTTTCTCGTGCTGACCCTTGCTAACACCAAGTGTTTAACAATAAAATGGAAAACATCTTTAGGGGGTTTAGTTAACGAAACCCAAGTAAACACCTTTTTAGTGATTAACCTTAATACAAGAAAATCTCAACTACTCATGAAGTGTACAGAAAACATGTACCATTGAATGTCTTTCTCAAATATTAAGTTTTTCACAGGAGCTGGACAATGGTCCATTCAAGGCTGGAGGATTTATGCTCCTGAAGAATACTTGTGCTGTGGCTATCAAATGCACAGGTGACAACACTGACATTGTTTTGAAGGTTAAGAAATTGAAAGCAATTTCTTCTGGTGGAAAAAAATATTTTCTTCAGGATACAAGTTTTAGGCTCGTCCAAGAGCTTAAATAACCCCCAGCTGACTATTATAAAGTAATATAGAAATTATTTTAGACCAGAAAAATGTAAACATGGTTTATTACCAGTTTGAACCTTCACCATAGAAAAACCTTAAAATCACTCTTGTGGATTTTTAGTGGCATTGTCAGATGGTGAGTAGTGAGTTTCAAGAGATAAAGCTGGGGCCAGAACGTAGAAGGCTGTGAATGCCAATCTAAGGGATTCGAACTTTATTTGGTATTCAGTGGGAACCACTGAAAATCTTTCAGCAGAAAAATGAAAGATGGACATGGTTGTTAATTCTTGTGGCAGTGATATAAGGAACTGAGTCACTTAAAGTTGGGGGAAGATCAAGTGCGGGGTGTGAGGTAATAGTCTTTTTACTAGGGTGATGGCCATGGATATATTTAGAAATGGATGCAACTAACATTTAAGGGAGAATTGACAGGACAAGTCTTGATATAAGGAATGGAGTCAAGTTGGTGACCACTAAGGTTGAAAGATTCATGGCTGGGATGGGAGAAGAGAGCTGCCCCTGATTTAAAAAATCCTGCTACAAGAGACAAAGCCAAACTAGGACTCTGATCTCAGGATTCCCCGTCCAATTATCTTTCCGTTGTAGCTATTGCCTGATTTGGAATGTTGAAGCTAGTCTGAAAGACCATGAGCCTTAGCAGGTGGCTTGACAGGGCCTAACACTCAGTTAAATCACCTTCAGGATTTTTTCCTAGACCCTGGTTATAATCCTAGCCTTGTGCTAACTAGTTTTGTGATCTAGAGCAAATTATTTGCCTTTGACACTTTTTATGGGTTTTTTTTTTTCAATTTAATATTGCACAGATATATTTCTTATCTCCCATTTCTATTTGAGAGTAGCAATGTGGATACATACCATGTGGATCCTTTACATTGATGGTTTATAATACCTAAGAAGTTTCTTTGTAAAAGGGCATCAAATTAATGAATGTAAATTATGAGAACCACCTGTTAAAAACAATAAAGTATTAATTTAAAAACAAAAAATACCCCTGAACTTTTAATATTAATTTAGGCTAGAAGAGAAACTCCCCTGCCTTTTATTAGGCCTCTGATTACTTAAGAACATCATCTAACATTCGTTAAGTACCTGTGAACCACAGCCACGTTCTACTTAATAACAAAAAAAACCACCTCATTTCCGAGGAGAACCTCCCCCCAGGCTTTTCCTCATCCTTCCTTGTAAGATTTCATATGGCAGCAACGAAGGACAAAGGGGACCCTGAGAAACACCTTTCATATTTAAGGTTAACACAAAGCATGGTTTGGTTTCTGCACTCTGATGGAAGACAAACGTTGTATATTATCTAGCTATATTACAGGTTTCCTCAACTTCTTGTGATTGATGTTACCAGTATTTGATTCTTACTCCTGTACAAAAATCTTAGAGCACTTAAGGGAGGGCAGGAAGGCAGGCAGCCCACAGAAGGAAGTTTCTGGACTCATGCAATTCTCCCTGTACAGCACTCAGTTTCAGTATAACCTCAAAATCCTCCAGGAACTCTGGTCAGTTCTACACAGCACCATCATACCCCCTTTTCTGGGATGATCTGCAAAATGTCTTTGGAGGCAATTCTGAAAGAACAGTTTCAAAATTGGTCTAAGTAATATTAATACTAGCATCACTACAGTAAGTACATGATTTCCCAAGGGTATCATTTTAAAGGATAATCATTTGATCTATGAATTATGATAAATTTGTTTTAAAAAGCATTAAAGTTTATTTTTAAATTACACAAAAAGCACTGTTTAAACAATGGTTATAACTAGTGAACATTAAGAAATCTTGCAGGCAGGTGGATGGGATTGAAATACTCTTTCTTGATTTTATAGTTTAAGGGCCAAATTGAGCACTGTTTATGTCTGCATCAGCTACCATTAAAAACTTTGAGGCTGCTGGACACTCAGTAAGGAATCAGAAGTTTTTTAAAAAGATGCAAATGAATGGAATGTGTCATTTCAAAGCCTGTTTGGTAAAGGAGAATGGATGACCCACCTTTTTTTAAATATTTTTTTGAGAGAGGGTCTTGTTCTGTCACCAAGGCTGCTCCTGAGTTCAAGTGATCCTCCCACTTCAGCTTCCCATGTAGCTGGGACCACAGGTGTGTGCTATGCCACACCCAGCTAATTCTTAATTTTTTTCATACAGACAAGAGTCTCACTATGTTGCCCAGGCTGGTCTCAAACTCCTGGGCTCAAGTGATCCTCTGGCCTCTGCCTCCCTAAGTGCTGGGATTGCAGGCATGAGCCCCTGCCCCCAACCCCCATCTCAATTTTGTATAGAGGCTGTATAGTCTGAGAGACATAAAAGTTTTTGTAGCTCAACAGACCTAGTTAACATTCCTGGCTTCACCCCTTTGTAGTTGAGTAAACCTCTGCAAATTATTTTCTCTGAAGCCCAGTTTCCTTACTTGTAAAATGCCTGGTGAAGTGCCTGGCAAACAGAAGGTATTCAAGAAATACCAGTTCCTCTGTGAGGGTGTTTTTTTCAAGCTAAGGGTTGCAACCCATTGGTAGATATCAATTTAGTGGGTTGCAACTGGCATATTTTAAAAACTGAAACAATAAAAAGCATCAGAATGGTAAGTATTGTTCATTAAACATATTCTAAGGTTTGATATAAATGCGTTTTTTACTGTGGGTTACAGCCAAAAGGTTTGAAAGTCTCTGCTCTACAGAGAAATTCTCAGATTATGTTAAAAAAAAAAAAAAAGTCCTTAGGATTGCTGCCTTTATCCAAATGAGGGCCCACAAATTTTAAGACATTAATCAAAGTGTTCCCACTTTCTAACTTGTTGCAGTAAAAATAAGACATGGAGAAAATATTTAATCTGATATGATAAAACATTAAATTCAATTTTAAGATTGGTTTCTGTGTCACACTGACTATGCTTATAAACACTTTATCATTTATAGTTGATCAAACTCTTCTAGCAATTTCTATGAAAAAGTTGGCTATTAGGTTCCATTATAGGGAAATGAGATACTTTTTAAAAGGACTGTAACTTGCCTATGTGTGAAGACTGCTAGAGTAATATTCCAATCCTGATGAGCAGTAAAAGTCAAGGGCTTATATGAGTACATACAGTGGTATTCCACACTGGCTCAGTAAAAATGAGAGATACCAATACCAAGTGTGAGCTTCAAATACAGGCCTCCTTCAGGTCTTTATGTAAACCAGATTTACCTTATAATGAATCCCTAGTGCTGCCGCTAAGTTGGTGGGCTGAAAGGATAGCCAATTTGGGATGGAAGAGTGGGGTAATATGCAGTGATGAAGAAGGGTAGAATACTGGGAGTTTCAGAATTAAATGACACAGCAGAATCTTGATGTAACTGTTTCTTAGATTTATAATTTCAGCTGACTATGCTGGACGGGTGATGTCAGAATTACCCCTGGAACTGAGGTTTAGGAATCTTGCTTTAGTATGTGCCTGGGTGAGTTCTGATCCTCATTCAGGTTTGATCACCCTGTGTTAAAGTGACAGAGCAAGGTCCAGAAACTAGAGAAGAGGTGTAATTCAAAAGTAATTATCCCAGCCTCACAGGTGTCCAATATCACAGGTGTCCAATACTGGATCAGAATCTGACACTTATTCAAAGTATTTCCTTCTTGGTATTATTAATATGTTAATGATATAAAGCAGCAGAGAGCAATACTTGATACTTTCTAGTTATTTAATGATACTAAGAAATGGTGCTGTTTCACTGGATTTCATTGATGAGATTTAAGACGTATGAAAGAGAAAGTCTCTTTAGACAGGGACATGAAAGGTAGCCATCAATAAAAGTTACTAAAAGTAAACTCAGAAAGAAAGAAGTGATAAACCATCCAATCCCCTAATGAACCTTAGCTCCTGGCAGAGAGACAGCTCACACCTTCTGGGGTGCAGGTGCCCATCCCTGTGCTCAGAAAAAAGCGTTAAGTAAGGCAAAAAGTGATTCCTCCTATTTTAAATGAGTTGGGGTACAGAGGGGAGCTGCCTGTAGTCTTGAATTCTTTTTTTCCAGTATTAAAGCCTTTCTGCGGTTTGAGATAGACATGCAGTTGGGCTGGGCCATGCTTGCTGTGAATGTCAGGTGTTGAGATTAGCACCACACCATTCCCCGGGTCTGAGTCTTGCATGCGTCTTTGTCCATCATTGTCTAGAATGTGAGAAAGGTAAGCATGGGAACGCCATTTTGGGGAAGAAACACCAGCTATAGAAAGCAAAGGGATGCATAGGAGATAAAAAGTCTGGGGAAAAGGATGTGAGGTAGCAAGCGAGTTCTCAGCTCCCCCCAGAGACCAGCTGAAAAGAAGACTGGGTCAGATACCCCCTATCTGGCAGATATATCACCCCTCAAAACTGGAACATGCCCCAGGAAATGTTCTTGGTGGTTTTTTTCTCCTTGCTCATTTTAGCCCAAACTCTAACAATGTTGAAAATATCTCGAAATTTCTTTTTTTCTTTTCTTTTTACCTAGAGGTTATAGGAAGGGATGAACAGAGATGACAGACAAGACAAAAAAGGTTATGAGAGAATTCCTCATTATACATGGGTAGAATTCACCCCAGAAACCAAAGAACTTTTCATAATTACAAGGGAGGGACAGCACAGGGCACAAGATCTTTGAGGTGTTAGAAGACAGGCTGACAGACCAAGCTTGGTGACTGGCTTAATAAGTCTCCTACCACTTGAAATTCTGTGTTATTTATTTAAAGAGAGGCAGAGGAAGAGTTCAGAAGCCAGAAGATTTTTGGAAGAGAAGTTGAGCCTCTTGCATTTTCTTACATCATTAATTTCCTTCACCAGAAGATATAGTTGGACCAAATTGCAATAGGGTTCGCCAATGGACTCCATTATGTAGTCGACCTGTGCTCCTCACTAGGCCCTGATTTCGCTATCTGATAACAAAGGCTTCTGAACTCTTATTCTTTTCCTCACTAACAAACCTCAATAATCTACACTTAGCATTAAGGTCTCCAATTCAGGGTTATGGAAGAAACTAGTCTTCCATAACCCAACGTTTCTACACATCTCAAGTCCTTATCAGAGTTATAGGTTCAGTTTTCACATTTCCAGGGAGAAAATCTGCTCCTTGGCAGTCTTCAAACTTTACCTGACATACATTATATACCCTCAGCCCAGGGCCTCAATCTCTTAACATCTCCATGAACACCCCAGCAAACAACAAAATATATCCATTTATCACACTTCAATCCCACTTGAACATCAGTAGCCACTATCTTGATATACTTGTGTTCCAAAAGGTGACGGAGTGTCCAACAGCAGCAAAGGTCCTCAGGATAGACATGTTGGCACCAATAATACTGAAATTTGGTTTTTAACTGCATTTCTTGTCAGTTTGGCTGGGAAGATCTGGACAGCTGGAAGTGAGCTTCTCCATCATTTTCTGTTTCTTTCTTTGTATCAATTTTCCACCTGTGAAGCCCAACACCCCACCACCAAGTGCAGCTGCAATTCCTGCCACTTTGAAGCCTGCAAGGAGGCCAATAGGACCCCCTACCATTCCCCCGATGAGTGCACCTGCCACAGGCAGAGCTGCCAGCTTGTATTTTGCAGCCTGTAAAAAAAAAAAAAATTCAATTTAGAAACTGAGTTGAGAATATCTGCCTGTGGTGATGTGCGTTTTCCTCTCATTACTCCTGGCAATGCCTCTTTAACTCTTGGTACATAATTAACCTTAGAGACTGTACTTGTAGGGGGGAAAAGAAAGTATTCCACAGGTACTGCAATTGCTCCAGATCTCAGAACTTAGAGAGCTGAGCTACAAAGAGTGGACTGCTACAAATTGATTTTACTTGCAAAACAATCAATTCACTAACTATCTAGCTGGCTTATTTAAACTGTTTCGGCAGCCACAGATTTCCCCCAAAGCTTTTATGTTGCACAGAAATTATTCAGTGCTGTGTGCCTGGGGTTAAAAGCAACATCCTATGGAAAATAGATGGTCCCACTCCATGTGTGCTGTCACATACTTACACTTTTACCCTCTGCAAATATTCCCTGGTAACACCAAATGCCTTACAGCAGAGCTACAGTTTATTCTCTCTTTGAAGAAATTCCTCTCCTGATAGAATGAATCTTAGAGTAGAATATTACAACATTGATTTCTTACACTACCTATGTGTCATTTCTTCCTTATTTCCTTAATTGCTGGTTCCCTCAACATTGAAGAGAGCAGATCAATTGGGTTAATACTAGAGATTCCTGGGAGCCAGAGTACCATTGATTTGTCAGCAGGAGCAGAATCTTACCTTCCCTAAGTTTTTGGTTCCCTCTTCAACATTCACAGCAGCACTGTTGACATGGTCTGCAATGCTGTCAATCTTCTCCTGCTGAGACTAGATGCAAAGGAATTATGAGTGAGCGGTCCTGCTGGGGAGCAGCAGGGAGCCAACACACACTATTTTAATTCCTGTAATCAGGGCCCTGGGTACTGCAGCCTTGCCATCTTAATAGTGGTTCATTAATAGCATCTGATAAGCCATGTCGAAAGGACAAATTAACTTTCATAAAAAAAAGGGGGGGGTCTTAATTATTAGGTAATAAAAGGGTGGCAACTTTACAGCAAAAAGCATCTCACGCTAAAATTCACTCAAACATACAAACATATTATTCTCCAAATGAATCTACTTTCCAGAAAAAAAAAATCCAAATAAGCATTTACATGTCATGTTGGGTTTGATGGAAAAAAAAAACCCAACAAAATCAAACCCCAAAATACCTCCCTAACTTACCTTCTTTGAGGATTCAGTTTAAATCAGGCACATTTACCTTAGGAGTAAAATGCCCTTGGTCCAATAAATACAAATTGTTATGTTTCAGGAACAAGACTACAATACGGTTTGATCTATTATGAGATCTTTCCATTTGTAATATGCAGTAGGGAACAGTGAATGAAATCACTGTTCTGTGCTTTACACCTGTGTATCTTAATACATTTTAAAATCATGACAGTTTAAAATGTTTCAGATCAAATATATTAATAAAGCATTCTACATAAAATGGCAACACCTGTGCTGGCACAACAGCAACTGTGACTCATGGAATCTCTGGGTAGAAGGAATGTTGAGGTCATCAGGTCAATCTCCTCTCTGATGTGCGAAGCCCTACTGTAACATTCCTGACAAGTGGTTACTGAACCTCTGCTCAGATACCTCCAGTGACACGAACTCATTACTTGCTGTAGGAACACATTCCCATTTTTAATTCAACTTTATTTAGATAGAATTTACATATAACAAGTACTGCTTTTAATGGTATAGTATGATGAAATTTAGCAAATGTATAAACCAACTATCACAAATGTATAAACAACAAATGTATAAGCCAACATATAATCAACCATCACAGTTTACAGACTATTTTGGTTTTGTTTTTTTAATGTGCAGAAAAAAGAGAATCTCTCTTTGATCCTAGATAGATGCCACCTGCAATGAGGGTGAAATAATTCAACTTTAATCCTGAAGTGTTTGATTGCCCTTATATAATTGGCCTATTCATTTATATTGAGGCAGACACATACAACACTTTTCTAATTCCAACCATTATTTCATTTGAAAACATGAAGCCCAAACCACACAGCTACTTTTTCCCCATGTTTGTTTCCTCTTAGCATTACTGATATTACTTCCCTTCTCATACACAAAATATGTCTATCTTCGCCATTGTGGTATCCCTTCATTCCAATATTCTCCACCACTATCTTGACATCTCTAAAACAATGCCTAAGAAAGTCCCTTATCAGTTTTCCTTTGAATGTCTCTGTGAGAGACAACTTTAACAATGGTTCTCAGTCTTCCACCTGGAGGCTTCTTAAAACACAGATTGCTGGGCCTAATCCCCGGAGTTTCTGATCCAGTAGGCCTGGGATGAAGCCTGAGCTAGTAAGCTCCCAGGTGATGCTGATGCTGCCAGTCCACAATTCTCACACTTTAAGAACCACTATTATATGTGCTCAGATCAAGGGCACCACCTTTAGTCAGATAATCTGTGTTCAAATCTCAGCAAACGCCACTATGTGCTCTTAGACAAATTACTCAAGCTCTCTAGGTGTTGGTATTCTCATTTATCAAGTAAGAATAGTGATACTTATACCTTCATAGAGTTGAAGTGGGGATAAAATGTGTTTGCAAAGTGTGAGGGGGGAAAAATAGAAAAATTTATCCTAATTTCCCCAAGGAAGTGTTAACTCTCATCTCTCTATCAAAAAATATATTTAACTTTTTCTTTCGGTGCTTGAAAATTCTAGGACACTAAAACTTCAGGTATCTTTTAGCATTCATTCAATCATTCAATTTTTATTTTCCTCAATAGCAAAACTTATTTAAGTCAGCTTTCTTTTTCTGACCCATAGAAGAAAAAGTTCCAGCACTAATAATATACAACTTGTCTAGATTTCTGACACCCTATCATTGTTTCTATTTAGGACACCCCCAACACTTTCCACTCTTGCCTGAAACAGTCTATGCTAGCAGATAAATCACAGGCTTAAAACTCTACCATCAGCCGTCATATGTTGATGAGTTGAAAGGTAGAGGAAAAATAGTCAGTGTCTCCCTTCCTTCAGCCCCAAAATAATTCCAGCAAGAGGGAGGAGCCTGCCAGGATTATTGCCATTTCTATACCCCAAGTGTAATCGTAAAGCCTCAGGGAAATACTTTCTAATGTTCCTTCCTTTAAAAAGGGTTGGATATTGTACTTCTATGACTTTTTAAAAATTAAAGCAAAATTTTAAAATAATTTAAATATTTTTTCATAAAAATCATTTGGAATAACTGAAGAAGCAACCACAGGCAAAAAACCAATCCTGAGATCACTAATTATTTGAACTACAAAGTTCCCCATCATTGCAATCACCAGCATTTGATGAGGCCCATCCCACCCTGGGGAGTAGCCCACATCTATAAGTATTTATTCATGCCATCAGAAAGCATGCTAAGATATGGGGCTGGGGTGTGGGAATAAGGCAGAGGGCAGACAGCCCCTATCCTGGGATCAATAATCACCCCTCGATTGTGCACGTCTGCCTTTCTCTTGTCCGTATTTTGCTTGGTTTGCAACTTCAAACTTTGCCCATATCTTCAAATTCTGCTTCTTGAGTAAGGAGGACTCACTGACCCCCACAAAGGTTACAGTTAGGCAGCAAACTATTGTCACAGAGTTGTCAATTACCATCAGCAGAATGCCAAACCAGACTCCATACAGAGCTGAATTGGGTCACTACCTGTCCACTATGTCCTTGGCTCTTTTTGTGGGACCAAAAGATACATATACAACCCTGCCCCAGCCTGTGAAATCAAGCTCTAAACATTAATGGTGGTGCAGGAGCCTCCTAACCTCTATCTATCAATCTCCCCTGAGGTTTTGCTTCTGATTTGCTCATGTTTATTTTCATCTGCTTAGGCCTCCCACATTTGACAATCTTCAAATTCCATACCTGCCATTTTATAGTTTGGCACCCCATATATGTTCTCAGCATTCCTTTAACAATGAGCTAAACCATATTTAAGTGTTTAGCTCATTACACTGCAGTGTTTCTCAAGCTAGAGTAATATACTGACCTCCTTTTACAGAAAAAGAAAATTCTCAAATGACTCTAAGAATATGTCTACGGATTTCATTTTAAAGAACATTGAATTAAGTCCCCCTATTGGCCTGAACATAACAAATCTTGACGAACAGCTATAGGAGTACCTAAGTTTCTGTATAAACTGTGATTTATTATACTTGTCAAGCAGAATGCAATTTGGGAATATAAATTCAAAACCAATGAACTGTTTTGTTCTTGAATGCCTGTTGGGGACACTTGTAGGCCTAGCATCCTCTATGTCAAGCAATAATAATACATTCAAAAATTAACCCCCAAATCCATTTATATCATTAACAGTGGTCTTCCATAGAGAGTTCTGATAGTAGTTGTAAAGTTTAAGGTTCTTGGAAAGCTACGAGTTTATTTAAGAGGGTAATACCAAAACTCCAGGTACGTCCATTTATTCCTCTCTAAATTCCAGCCAGCCTTCAAGGCCAAGTTCTAATCTTAGATCTTGACCAATCCTGTTCACATTGAGCTATTCTGGTTCTAAACTCCTATGATATATTCTATATACTCCTTAATCATATGCAATCATATACACAAAAAGGCCCAGAAACAAACTTATAAATACTATGATATATAGGCAAAATAAGTGATTATATTGGCTTCGAGTAAGCAATAAGCAGAGTAGATAAGTAGGATGTTGCTAACAGAGGATTCAGCAGTTGGAAAGGGACTGAAGGAATTCCAGTACTAAAATGCCTAAGGATAATAGTGGTGGAAAAAGTAGAATTTTTGCAAGGAGCCAAACAAGGAATGAAAATAAAGGAAGGACAAAAGTGGGAATGCAGTTGGGGTCAGTGGAAGGGAACAGAATGGGAAGTACTTAATAATACACATTACCTCATTTAGTCCTCCCATCAGTGTTATAAAGCTCATTGTTGTCAAATAACATCCTGAAGGTCACATAGGTAATAAATGAAGGAATCTGATCTAATCCATTGCAACCAGTTTTTATGTTTCCAGAGTAAAACTGGATTACAAAAACGACAGGGAATAAGGCAAAAGGCAGAAGTCAAAACAGACTAGCAGCAAGGGTGAGTTGTTACTGAACTACTGGCCCAGGGTTCTTTAAATTCTCCTTGACTAGAAATAGGGCTAGTTACAAAGTTATAGGGAGAGAAGAGGGCACTTGAACAACAAAGGCTGAAGAAAAATAGAGCAGGGTACCTAGTAGATATTAATTTATTAACATTTATTGTACTATACCTTGATCTGTCAATGGCTTTGTAAGTTCTTTTTATAGTGGTAAAATAAATATAACATAAATTTACCATTTTAACCATTTTGAAGTGTACAATTTAGTGGCAATAAGTAACTTCACAATATTGTGCAACCACTATTACTATCTTGTAAGTTTTTTAAATGCTTTTTTCTATTCCTCATTAAGCTTAGCACAGTGCTACGCAGATAGAAAGTGTTCCTTAAATACATGGTTAATTTGTCTAGACACTATCATGTCCATGTGATGATAATGAGAGGATGTGGTCACTCTGGTTATGTTCCTAGGTCATTCTGTGCCTAAATAGAGCTTCTGTGAATCCTTGGCCATGTGGTCATGAGAACTTAGTCACCCTGGGAATAATAATCAGGGGTTCTCCTTTGAGCTTTTGCTTATTAGCATTCTGTCTCATGTACTTAAACAGATTATTACAAACAGGACATTTGTATAGAGCTGTGGCTACAGCCAGAGTTTTCCTACACAAATCTCCCTTAGATTAGAGGTTATGAGCTGCTTACATAATATAATCAAACATGTAACTATCTTATGGTCACAGACCTTTAATATTTCTTTTATGTGCCTATCCCAGTAGAAAAGAAATGTGTTTGTACTGAGTAAGAACTTTGTACATGTGTAGTTTGTTTTTTAAAATCAGCTTTATTGAGGTATAATTTACATATATTAAAACACATTTTATGTGTACAGACCAATGACTTTTGGCAAGTGTATATATTTGTGTAACCATACATGTATAGGTTTTACAAACTGCACTGGATTCAGAGATTATTAGTTTACAATAGTTGAATAAATGTTGATTCTGAAACAACAGATATTTTGGGATTCTTGTTCTATTATTTCCTTCTGTTTGCGAGTATATTAATATTGTACAGATACCTAATCCAGAAACTTCAAATATTTTGCTTCTTCTAACTTAGAGGCATCCAGAAGCAATTCAAACAATTTACTGCATTCAATTTTAGGTAACACATTTCAAGAAAATATTCAGAATATGGAACATAAGCATAGTAAGAAGCCAGTATTGAGAAGCCTAGAAATTATATTGTAGAAGGAATGCAAAAGAAGCAAGGGTTCTGAAGAGAAGAAAATATGGTGGGGTGGGATAGAGTGAGGAAAGATGATGGTTTCAAAACCTTGAAAGACTTTCATATGGAAAGAAGGCAAAATTTGTTCAGTACGTAGCTTTAGAGGCCAAAAATGCCAAAAAGAAGTTATTATAGGGCAGACACTTTTAACTCTAACCCTTCTAAGAGTTAGACCCTCCAAATGCAATAGTTTAAGTATCAATATCCTTGTGCTGTAATTGTTCCAAAAGAGGCTAAAAGACCATTTATTTTAGAAATTGGGGCAAGAGTAGAGGGATTAGATTAGTTGGCCTCTTGAGTCCTTTCTCATTCCAATTCTGATTGTGTGATCTAGGAACTTCTCATTTAAAATTAGATCTCAGGGAAACCGTAACTCAAAGATAACCCCAAAATCATGGTTAGATCAGAAACAAAGAACTAAACCTAGACAGAACTGCAAGCAGAAACAGGTATGCCTGTGTGGACACACATACATAAATATACATACACACGTATTCATACATCCTACCTTCCCATAACTCCTGAGAAAGACAAAAAGAACAATTTAGAAAAATGGTGGAAAATCTATCTTTCCCAACAAATTGACTTTGTGCTTCCTAATCTATGTTAACAGTATCACTGACACCCAATTATGCAGAATAAAGACAATGTTCCTTATCTTTGGCTCCATCTTCCTCCAATTTCTGTTAAGTCCCCCAGAAATATCTCTCAGCTGTCCTTTACCTTTACACTGGTATTGCCATTGCTCCAGGTGAACTCTTGCAATTGATTCCTAACCAGTCTTCCTTTCCATGACCTCCTCCTCTCTTAGGCCATTATTCACAAAGCCAACAGTGATCTTTCTGAAGCACAGACTGAATTGCATGACTCTAACCTGCTCAAGAATCAGTATTAGGCTTTCTAATGCCCACAAAGTAAAGTTCAAATTCTTTAGCATGGCATTCAAAGCCATCACAATCTGGCCCTCACCCTCCTTGCTTGCCCATGGTACCTTATGCTTTGGTTATACTGCAGTACTTGTCAATCTGGAACAGGCCATACACTTCTCTACTCCATGTCTTTGTTCAGCTTCTCAAATATACTCCATAACTTCCCCCAGTGGATATTTACTCATTTTTCAAGGCTCATACAAATACTGTCTACCTGTGTGAAGCTATCCTTAATGCTTCTTTCTACCTTATGACTCCTGCCTCCTTCCTTTGGAATTAAATGCTTTTCCTTGGAGCTGATAATACCTCTCTTCATTCTTGCTTTTGCATTTAGCCATCATGCTTGAAAGCTCAGTTTCTGGGGTCCAGGCCTATCTCCACTCACTGTAGAATGCTCAAAGGCAGCAGGGCGTGGTGGCTCATGCCTGTAATCCCAGAACTTTGGGAGGCTGAGGCGGGTGGATCATGAGGTCAGGAGTTTGAGACCAGCCTGACCAACATGGTGAAACCCCGTCTTCACTAAAAATACAAAAACTAGCTGGGCATGGTGGCACGTGCCTGTAATCCCAGCTACTCAGGAGGCTGAGGGAGGCAAATCGCTTGAATCTGGGAGGCGGAGGTTGCAGTGAGCCAAGACTGTGCCACTGCATTCCAGCCTGGGCGACAGAGTGAGACTCCGTCTCAAAAAAAAAAAACACAAAAAACAAGAATCTTCAAAGGCAGAGAATGGGCTTCATTTATTTCTATATCCAACCTGACCACACTCTCAATGTTAAGCATCTAACACACTGCTTGTATATAACAAGTGCTTAATAAAAGTTTCTTGAATTAATCTGGAATTTGAGAACAGTTAAACTTCTATCTATGGCTTAATACCAGTCTTAAAAATTATAAGTTCTATTAAAATTCTAATTAAAAGCCTAGTGATTATAAAAGCTTCTCATTCTAATAATCCAACAATTCTGCATCCAAAACAGTTATATACTTACATTCACTAGGAGAGAGAAGTCAGTGACCAGTTGGCTAAGTTCAATTAAGTCCTTTAAAAGAAAGGGAGAGGAAGTTACTTTTATGCCTCACAACTACCAAAAAGAAAACATTTTTTAACATACCGCTTCTAAGGTTTCCCACGATTCTGCAGCATTTTGATCTTGAGGAATTTCAGGTAAGGCATATATCTGAGTCAAACTCTGAGAACTAGCTTCAGCTTCAGTAGTATGAAATGCTCCTGGATGAACATAATAACCCCATGTTTAGAGTTTATTTGCTTTGTTAGAAAAGAGACAGCATAAATTGATTTCATAAAACAAATGCCACGTTAAATGGTGTCTAATTAAATTTAGGCTAAAAGGAAATTGATTATTCTACAAAAATAGAATTGTTTGGCTGGGTGCAGTGGCTCACACCTATAATCTCAGCACTTTGGCAGGCTGAGGCGGGAGGACTGCCTGGGCCCAGGAGTTCAAGACCCGTCTGGGCAACAGAGTGAGACCTCGTCTCTACAAAGAAATTAAAAAGTTAGCCAGGTGTAGTGGCACACACCTGTAGTCCCAGCTACTTGGGAGGCTGAGGTGGGGGGATCACTTCAGCCTGGGAGGTCGAGGTTGCAGTGAGCAGTGATCACGCCGCTGCACTCCAGCCTAGGTGAACAGAGCAAGATCCTGCCTCAAAAAAAAAAAAAAAAAAAAGATTTATCCATAGGGTAGCTTGTTCCCCAGATTAGTTAACACATTTTTTTTTTCTAAAATTTTTTTTTTTGTTTTTAATTGACACACAGTCTTGCTATGTTGCCCAGGCTGGTCTTGAACTCCCGGCCTCAACTGATCCTCCTGCCTCAGCTTCCCAAAATGCTAGAATTACAGGCGTAAGCCATGACACCAAGCTTACACACATATTTTTTTAATCTACACAGTCATTTAAAAAATGGCTACAAATACTATCTATCCAATCTGAATAACTAGGGCTAAATGTGGAAGAAGCACCAAAAGAAAACTATTCTACTTGGCCAATGTTCCAAGGAGACGTACCTATATAAATAGGTTTAATATTTTTCATCCTTAAACTTCTATTTGGCTATTTCAATGTAAATACCAGATACAGAAGGTGTTGAAAGCAGGGAAGTAATATATTTTTATTAATGATAATCAGTCACTATTGGTAATAATAAGATTGTCACCAAACATTACCATATGTGTCTTTTTTGTCACTACTCTTCTCCTCAATCTTCTGGCCCATGACTCCATTGCTTCTACTTCTTTTGAGTTTTAAAAAGTTGTCAACCCAGTAGGACTTTCCCCATTAAACACTGCTATGATGATGAATTAATTCACACTTTAAAATCTACCTTCAAGTCTTTATTTCCTCATATTGGTTTTACCAATCATTCATTCATTGAGTTGACATTTATTAAATGCCTACTACCTGCTGATCAGTGTGCTGAGGTGCTGCAGACACAATGGCAAACCATAAAAACAGTTCGGAGGAGGCAACATAGTGTAGTGGTTAGGAGCCTGGGCCTAGTCAGAAAGACTTGGGTTAGAATTCTGATTTGGCTATTTATAAACTGTTTGCCTTGGGTATTTCATCTCTTTGGCTGGTTTTTCTCATTTGTAAAATAAGGTGATATTTACTTTGCACAGTACCTGGGTT
Organism: Homo sapiens; assembly: GCF_000001405.40. Lineage (NCBI taxonomy): Eukaryota > Metazoa > Chordata > Mammalia > Primates > Hominidae > Homo > Homo sapiens. Next base: position 99,958,495 of record NC_000009.12, on the reverse strand, counting down.
ATATATAAAGTACAAGTGCTCAATAAATTAGTTACTGCTGCTGCTATTGTTAACAGATCTTACCATAAAATGCATGATACAGACATATTAATAGTCAAGTTCAGTCAGTATAGTCTAATAAGAACTGTAATACTGGTAAGTATAGAGTGCTACACGGGCACAGATGAGAGGTATTTAACCTAGACTTGTGGAAGGGAGAGTGGTCAGAGAAGGCTCTGAAGCTGAAGCCTGAGGGTGAACAGAAATTACTACACAGGTGAACTGGTGCAGGGGTGGAAGGAGAAGCAAAGAGTATTCAGGTCAGAGAGAACAGTATGTGCATACGCTTAGGGACTGAAAAATGTTCAGTATAGCTGACTGTGATGAGGAGAAAAGCAAAGTCTAAGGCTGGAAATCTACTTTGAGATTATTCATGGCATTTGTAAACTATGTTAAACAGTTTTGCTTTTCACAAAAGATCAATATGTTACTATTAAAAATAGTTGGAGACTACTGGGAAGGTGCCATAATCAGATTTTAGATTTACAGAGAAAACTATAGCCACCGTGTAAGAAACACATTAAGGATGCAGTTGGAAGGTGACAAAATTAGAGAGTAAAAAAACCACCTGAGCTCAGGAGTTCGAGATCAGCCTGGGCAACACGGCGAAACCCCATCTCTACTAAAACACAAAAAATTAGCCGGCATGGTGGCACACACCTGTAATCCCAGCTACTCAGGAGGCTGAGGCAGAAGAATTACTAGAACCTGGGAGGCAGAGGTTGCAGTGAGCCAAGATCACTCCACTGACTCCAGCCTGGGCAACAGAGCGAGACCCTGTCTCAAAAAAAAAAAAAAAACAAAAACAATAACATAAAAACAAAAACAAAAAAACAGTCTGAAGGCTTTCCAATATATCCAGTGTAACATGACGGTGATCTGCTGTAGGATAGTTACAGTAGAAATGGAAACAAAAGATCTGAAGTTCTACTATCTTCCCTTCACTTCAAGCTCAAAACACCTACCACTTACATTTTCTGAGCACCCACTGAGTATTGTGTTAGGGTGCCAGAGATAAAAAGTAATCAACACAGAGTACATTCTCTCAAGGAATTTGTATTTTAGAAGAGCCAGACATACAAAAAGAAATTATAAAACAATAGGAGACTGCATTGGTATCTATCTAGAATCAGAAATATATACATAAGTATTTTATGAGACTTCCGAGCTGTGGGTGGCATCTGATCCAGTTTGATATGGTATGCAACTCATGGGAAGCCTTTCTAGAAAACTTGAGGTTACTAGGCAAAGAAGAGAGGAATACATATTCTAGGCAGAAAAACCAGTATGAACAAAGGCCCTCAAGGAATAAACAATATAGCTATGTAAATCAGCAGTTTGATGGTACAAAGCAAGAAGTAAAAGACAAGTTACAAGTATAAGCCTACAGATGGTCAGGAGGGGCCTTGCAGACCAGTTAAAGACTTTGGACTTTATCTGGCACACCAAAGAGAGCTGTTGAAGGGTTATAAGCAGAGAAATGCCATGATGACATGTGGCATCTGATCTACTCCTAAAAGTAAGCAATTATAACTCTAAGTTCATGTTCTCTCAATGCCCCTTTCAGCCAAACCTATAACTGAAATAGTATTTTATAAAACTGCATTACTATTTTACCTTTAAAGCCTATGAATGCTTTACCTCTCTAGGAAAAATGTTTCAATTGTTTAGGAAGGCCATAGTCAATGGACTAAAAAGTAATTTGTAGATTTATCACAACTGAGAATGTTTTTAATCTTATCTGAATATATTTATTTAACTTAAAGGAAGAGCAAAGGCAGGCGATACAGAGTAAGTTTTACATTAAAACAGTATGGCAAATAGCCAATATTTTAAAAGCTCTAAATGATTTTTACAAATGCTTAAAATAGTTACTCTATGCTTTACATTATTGCCATAAAGACACTCTCATTTTCACATCAACCAAGAAAAATGAATTACTCTATGACCTTTCTTCTACTTAATATTTCCAGGTATTTACACTTCTTTCACATTATGATGAATAATGATAACTTCATTATTATTAACAGATCAAATATAAAGGAGAACTTTATAACCATGACCACTCAAAATATTTTTTAAAGCCATAATTTATGTACTATTAAAGAGGATTCAAATGAAGTTTGCGAGGGTATGCAATGAAATGAGGACAGATTATTATATATTAATACTTAATCTAAAAAAATAATGTGTGGGAAATGTTTGACATTTTAAACAAACATAAAAGATTTCCCTCAGTAAAGAATAAAAATGTTTAAGTCATTTACGTCTCACTTGAAACCAAACTACGTATGCATCTTAGTTCAAACAGAGTCTTAGAACAAAGAGGTCTGTGCTCTTCCATAAAAAACCCTGATGTAAACTTAAAACTCTAAACCTCGCTAATCAATTCAAGTCATGACTATCAATTAAAGCAAATCTTTTCATTTCTACAACTTCCATAATTCATTTATTCCAGCTTGCATTTAAAATCACTACCTCAGTGACGATCCTTTGAACTTTTACGAACTGCTATGGACATGATAAGGCAAAACGCTGAGATAGATTATAGTTTCAGGAAAGAAAGCTGAAGAACTTTAGATCTGCCTACAGAAGTAAAAAATTGTAACTGTTTCATGTAACATAATCATCTCAGGTACTCCCACCCACACACAAACCAGAAGCATAAAGGGCAAGTAGAACATAGGACCTATCACTCACCACTGTTTTTTAAACCCCAGGATTGGTTTTAAAACCTTATTGTTGGTTTAGTTGAAGTGAGAAATAAACGAAATAACCTAAGACTTTTCCCTTTTATATATATCCAAGTACTCTCTCCCTCTTTCTCCATACTTTATGAACAGCAATGATTTTACCAAGAATTATAGTATATAAAAAATTTCCACTAACCTTTACCACATAAGAAAAAGTTTTATTATAAATCTAAATTAATTCAAAAGCATTGCTGAAATGTTTTCCAGTTCTGATAGTTTAAAAATAGTGAAATTAATTTACTGATCATCTACATAAGCCTATCAAAATAAAATTACTTCTAAGCATGGCTTAACTTAGCTGCAAATGAAGACTTAAAAAAAATTAAAACCAATAGAAAATACATCTTCTGAATCATATAATACAAACCATCTACATGTTTCATAAAACTGTTCAGTACATGTATATACCTGTGATAAAAATCTAAATTTCATCAAATTCAATACGCTGGTCTGAAGTTCCCAGCAGTTTTAAGATTATATTCTTTTCTTTTGTGAATATTTGTTTAAAATGTAATAAGATTCTGTTCCTTTTGTGTTACTGAAGTGTGTGTCCTGAGAGTAAAGAAAGACAAAAATGGAGAGAAGCACTGATTCACTCTGTATGACTTGAATCACCTTTCTAAATACAAATCAGATTTGGAGGCTCCTCACTTCACTTGGTGGAAAGCAATATGCTAAAAATGAAACCAGACACACAAGTGAGACAGAAGGGAGTTTCTCAGATCAAGAAGATTGGCAGAGAAGATTTGCTTTAGGAACTCTCGGAATCTGGACAAAAGAAACAGCAAAATCATCACAGCTTCTCCCTAAACTTAATAAGCTTCTTTCATTCTCCAGAGAATATAAAACATCCTATTCTACTTGTTATTTCTATCTGTAAATGAAAAACTATTTTTGTATTTTTGATCTTACTCATGGAAATGTGGCAACATTGCTTCTGAATCTCTGCTGATGTTTCCAACCAATTTATTTAGAATCAGATTGAATTTGTAAAGTAAAAAGTATTTTAAGGCACTTAACTTCTATGCAATAAAACAGATTTTCCATATAGGCTGTTGCTACTATAATAAGTATCTAAAGCAAAAATAAGGAAAAACTGGAGAGCATAGAATAAAAACATGTAGAATGACAAAAACAGTCTACAGCTAGAAGACCAAATATGGAGCAAACTCAATTCCTACCCCACTATTAAAGTCTTATGTAAATTAGTTACTTGCTTTCCTTTCATTATTCATTTCCTTTTCCATTCTCTTATTTATTAATAATATTTCTGGACTTGAGGCAATATAGCAGAAACTCTCACACTTGGCGAAATACTCAGGCACTTGGTGAGACAGTAGTTTTTTAATTGCTTTATGTTGGCAGTGGATTAATAGTGAAAGCACACTATGACAAGCAGACTATTGAATTTGAAATTCTATACACTATTTTAGGTATAACCTAGGTATTGATTTTATTAATAGAATGACTGTCTCAACCAAATCAATACTAGTTATAGAGATTTAATTTTTTAGTTTTCTCCTAGTAATTAGGTCTTTAATAGCCCATTTGGTGAATTGAGAAGTTTGAGAATCAAGAGAATTGGGAAGTGAATTTCACCTGCTATTTCTTCTCCCTCATTCTCTGGCTCTGCTCCAATTTTTTCATTTCCTTTATGCACATACTTCTTCAAAATCTGCCGAAGTTTTTTTTTATATACCAATCAGCTTCCTATGGAGAAAGTTAATTGCCAGCAAACTGGGTAAACTGCCTTTTTCTATTAATAATAATCACCCAATTTCTCTGATGACATATAAGCCCAAAGTTGTTGATCCCGAACAGTTCTACTGGCAGTAAAACAAATAATGCAATAATAAAATGCAAATTAAAGCAAGTATTAGGATATTAAAATACTGTGAGAAAACTCTCAGATGAACTCCAAATTTTTGTTTGATAGGGGAATTGCTAGAGATAGGCAATTCAAAGCTAAGTAGCAAAAAGATTGATGTTAGTTACTCTTTCCAGAAAATCCAGGTTATCTTCACAGTTATTATTACCATCACAACTATCACAATGTCTGGGTACATAAGATGAGCCCTTAATCACATGCAACTATAAAACTCAGTTACTCCACATGTGCACATAAAGCATCAGTTTGCACTAAGTGATAAAAACGGCCTTCAACCTCACCAATATGGCAGCAATAACTATAGATGAACAGAATAATGAAACGGTAATTACAAACTATCAAAAAGCATTCTTCCCAAATACTTTTCAACCAAGGATTGAGTGCTAGCATCTCCTTCTCTCAAAAACATTTACAGTACTGGTTATCCACAGAGTGAGGTGGTTACAGTGCATGTGAAATTACAAAATTGTCTCTAAAAAGATATTTATGTATTTATGTTTATAAAACATTTAGGTCCATTATGTGCCAAGCATTGTGCTAGGTACTAAGGCTACAACAAAAGCAAGATTACCCAGAAACTCTGACTAGTGGCCTAAATGTTTCTTCCAAAAGCTTTTTTTAATCTCTCTGTAAATTACTGGATCATTAGCACTGAAAATATAAAATTAAAAATAATCTGGCTTTGGAGATAGTGATGCAGGAGTGCCCTGAGTAAATAAAAAAAGAAAAAATGGGCAGATGTAACATTTCTTTTTTTTTATTTTTATTCTTATTTTTATTTTATTGTTATTATACTTTAAGTTCTAGGGTACATGTGCACAATGTGCAGGTTAGTTACATATGTATACATGTGCCATGCTGGTGTGCTGCACCCATTAACTCATCATTTAGCTTAGGTATATCTCCTAATGCTATCCCTCCCCCCTCCCCCTACCCCACAACAGTCCCAAGTGTGATGTTCCCCTTCCTGTGTCCATGTGTTCTCATTGTTCAATTCCCACCTATGAGTGAGAACATGCAGTGTTTGGTTTTTTGTCCTTGCGATAGTTTACTGAGAATGATGATTTCCAATTTCATCCATGTCCCTACAAAGGACATGAACTCATCATTTTTTATGGCTGCATAGTATTCCATGGTGTATATGTGCCACATTTTCCTAATCCAGTCGATCATTGTTGGACATTTGGGTTGGTTCCAAGTCTTTGCTATTGTGAATACTGCCACAATAAACATACGTGTGCATGTGTCTTTATAGCAGCATGATTTATAGTCCTTTGGGTATATACCCAGTAATGGGATGGCTGGGTCAAATGATATTTCTAGTTCTAGATCCTTGAGGAATCGCCACACTGACTTCCACAATGGTTGAACTAGTTTACAGTCCCACCAACAGTGTAAAAGTGTTCTTATTTCTCCACATCCTCTCCAGCACCTGTTGTTTCCTGACTTTTTAATGATCGCCATTCTAACTGGTGTGAGATGGTATCTCACTGTGGTTTTGATTTGCATTTCTCTGATGGCCAGTGATGGTGAGCATTTTTTCATGTGTTTTTTGGCTGCATAAATGTCTTCTTTTGAGAAGTGTCTGTTCATGCTCTTCGCCCACTTTTTGTAACATCTCTAAGATTCTACTCTAATTTGTAACTTACTTATACTCCACCTTTTCCGTAAGGATTAAAGGTAGCTTAGAATAATTTATAAAATATAACAAGATGAGACAAGTTACTAACAAAAGAGAAACACTGAAACAAAAAAAGAAAACAAGGGCAGTAGTTATAAAACAAAGCTAGGATAGGTTTAAAAATCTGACTTTTGGTGGCTAAAAATTTTGGCTCTAAGCTTTCTAGTAAACAATTTAAGTAGGAAAACCTTATCAGTTATTCCATTGAATACCCAAAAGATTTTAAAAAAAAAGACCAACTACTTTGAAGTACTACTATGTATTAAGCCAAGAATATTTTCAGAATTAAAGACATTATTATAATGTGATCAGCAATTATCAATTACATCCTTAGAAGAGATGTAATGACAAATTTCACAGGGCTGTTTCTTAGAGTATCACTTCACAGAAGATGATGGCTTAACTCCCATTGTAGATTACTTAATGTTGTCAGTTATTCAGAGAACTTGGCTGAAAGATAGATCTAACATCCCCTCTGAAAATCAGAATGCTTAAGAAAAAAAAGCATGCCTGAAGAGGTCACCCCTGCACCTGGAAAGGAGTAAAGAGTACTTTGCAGACAAGAATGACATTATCCTTAGGAAATATATTTAAATTTCTCTTCAATAAATAGACAAACGGGTACTTTCCCTGAAGTCCCACTCCATAAGCATAGCCTTAAATTTTTTATTCTGCAAAATATCCAGGGTACACATTTCCAGGAACACTGATCAGGGTCCAAGGATTCAGCATATTGGGATAGTGAATGGTCTCTGAAGACCTATAGATAATTCAGTATCTACTCAAGGAGGTGATCTTTAATTAACTGCACTACTGTGACTGAGAATAAGACTTAGCACAATACATTACCACCAACAGTCATGGATCTGGTCAAAGGAGGCTGTAGCAAAGTTTCTTCATCATTAAATTGCTTCTTAAGTTCTTCTACAGATTCCAAATGGAGTTGGAGAAATTCTGCTGTTGCTGCTGATGCTTCTTCTTTAACAGGATCTATCATTCTCTTCAGAAGTACTAGGTCATCCTTTCGGACTTTCAAACAAAGTTTCTCAATTTCTCGGATATTGGATCGGAGTTGCTATAAAAGAAAAAAATCATTAATGCCACCATTTCTTAGTATAAGATATCTTTCTTTTCAGAAGTAATGTTATAATAGTTGTGGATGGAAATTATAACAAATATCTCCACAATAGAAGGTGTAGCATAATACTTTTACATTTTCCATGTCTCTGGCTGGCCAAATGCAGCATCTTTGGAACCCACATGCTCATACTTTGAATTTATTTAGCATTTTTCCTTCATTAAATGTGGTTATACAAAAATAAATGCTCTTCACAATAAATCAAACACTACAGAAGCATATGAAATAAAAATGATATTCTCACTTCACCTATCCCACCCCCTCTTAACTCAATACTCCCACACATTTCTCACGGCTCATGCACACATTTAACATATATAAGGCTTCTCCCTTTTTATTAAAAAATGGATTACATTATACACAGTAATCTATAATTTGCCATTCCATACTCAACAATATTATCCCTCCTGCTCAATGGTTACACTATATTCCACGGTGTAGTGTAGAATAATTTACTCAGTCACTCCTTCGGTGATCAACATTCATGTTGTTCCTAATTTTTAGTTATTACAAACTATGAAACAAATATCCCTGCATATAAGTCCTAATTTACTATATTAGTATATATTAACATTATAGTATACACTAATATTAATATATTATTTTGTGTAGGAAAGACTCCCAGAAACAGGAATATTCAAATGATAATGTGCATTTTTATTTCAGAAGCTATTGTTGTTTTTTTCCCAAAAAGCAGTAACACTTCACACTAGCATCAAGGTATGATTGCCTATTTCTTCACATGCTGCCAGTCCTGCATGTCATCTCACTGTTGCTTTACTCTGCACTTCCCTATGAATGAAGTTGTTAGATTTTTATCAAATGATTTTCCTTCTTTTTGAGAAATACCTACTGGCTTAGTTATAAATTTACCTCTAATATGTTGCTATAATGAATTATGTACAGATTTTGTAGTGTAGAGTCATCTTTATATTCCTGGGATAAAGCCTTTCTAGTCAATATATATAATTTTTAAATACAATGCTGAATTCATTTGCTAGTATTTTATTTGAAACTTTAGCACATAGGAGTGTGTGTGTGTGTGTGTGTGTGTATACATGTGTGCATGTACACAGTTTGTGTATTTATACTATCTTTACTAGGTTTAAATTTGCTTTAACAGGTTTAAGGTTGTGCTAACTTCATAAAATATACTGGGGAGCTTTCCCTCTTTCTCAATGGTCTATACTTTGAAAACAAAGAAACAATCCCTTTAAGATTAAATAGAACAAATTTGCAAAAATAATCAAAGTAAGAAAAGTTATATGTCTATTCATATATTTTAAATTATTTTCCCCTAAAGTGTTTTCACAATATTAATGCAAATCCTACACAGTAGACAGACCAGTTAAGTAAGAATTAATTTTTCAAGTGCATACTCTGAGTGAGGTGTTACATTATTACAGTCCAAATTATTACATATGGAAAAAGCAAACAAAAAAAAACCTGTTTAGGATTTACTTAAGTTATCTAGTGGCAAAACTGGGGTTAAAACCCAGATATTCCGATAGGGCCAGCAATCTTTCCACTAAACTATAATAATAATGTCTATCTATGTAGTATCTTAATATAATACAATCTAAAGTTTCCATTTTACTGTAGTAAAATTAAAGTCAATTCTAGAAAAAAAAATAGTTTAGTTACAACCTAAAGCATCTTGTAAGATTTTTCTGGGTGAAAAAATTGTGCCTCTATCTTACCATGACTCTATACTTCCTGTAACCTTATCTTCAGTCTCTTACCATTCTAATATGAGCTGAAAAACCTAAGGATAATTAAACTGTAGATTCAAAATATGTGAAATGTAGGTATTAATATGTTAAAATTATATAACCTTAAAGGGGGCATAAGTGAGCATCTAATACAACCTCACAATTTTACAATAAGGAAACTGGAGTCTAGACAAACACAGTGGCAGAATTTGGACTACAGCCCAGGCCTCAAGTCCCAGAACAATACTGTTTCCAACACACCACCATTTCCTGGCTATGTGACTCCTTTCTGGACCATAATTATAAAGCTTGGTTATATAGTTACCAGTCTACAGAAATATTTTAGGTAATATTATCTTGGAGAAGCATTAAAAATTTTCTACAGCCAAACTTAATGAGCATTTGTTTGTGACACCTTCCTCACTTATGTAATTTGTACATATGTCTGTCCCCAGTCAAATTACAGTATCCAGCTAAGAACTCTATTACTATGAGTAATGTGGAAAATTTTGAGGGAGAGAAAGAAAAAACCCACTGAAGTATAAAATCTGATACTATAATAACAGCAACAATGATAACAAAAACATAAATAGTGGCTAAATTTTAATCAACACTTAAAGTTATCGATTGTGCTAACAGCTTTACGTCTTTTATCTTCCCCTCACAATATATCTTTGAAATGGATATTACTATTATTCTCATTTTATAGAAGAGAAAATTAAAGCAAGAAGTTCAAAAAGTAGCCCAGGATTACACTGCTAGTAAATAGTATAGGCAAGAATCAAATCCAGACCACAGATCTTGTGTTCTAACTACTTTATTACATAGCAAACACCATCCAACACAAACATAATGCAAATCACACACACAAGCCACATATGTAATTTAAAAATTTTTTAAATTACATTAAAAAAGTAAAAACAAGGGAAATTAATTTTAATAATATTTTATTTAACCTAATATAGCTAAAATACTATTTTAATATGCAATTATAAAACTTAAAATCTTTTACATTGTTTTATTTGTAGTAAGTCTTAGAAATCTGGTATATATTTTACATTCACAGCACATCTCAGTTCAAACTGGCTACATTTTAAGTGCTCAACAGTCACATGTAGTTAGGAGCTACTACATTGGATAGGGCAACTAGGGAATCTCTCTAAAATCAAACAGAGGGAACAGGATGGTAAAACCATATATGAAGAACATAAAGTCAGGTGTTTCTGCTTCTGAAAACAGCAGGCTAGGTGATTCAGACTAACCTTCCCACTAATGGCTACTTCAAAAGTTGAACAAAAATCAAATCACAAAACAAACCAATAGGAAAAAAAAAAAAAACTTGAAAAGTACCATAAAGCAAACAAGATAGTAAGTAACTATAGGACAAGAATTGGGCAAAGATGGAAATCTAGAGAGGTGAGTCCTGAACTCAGGACCACATTTGCTTTGGGAGTATTTGCATACCAGAATATAAACTCACAAAGCTTGGATTAAAATTTCAATGCCAAGACCTGCTAAGTATAAGGACTCTGGTACTTTTGGCTGGGATCGTCAGAGCTCCACCCTAGGAACACAGGTAATCCTAAAATAAAGCAGCCCTTGCATGAACTACAGACTGGCCTCCAGTCTCGAGTAGCTCACAGAAAACCTTAAGCTCTAAAATTGGATAAAGATAATCTTGGAAAGTTAGTGCCCCCAGCGGCTTAGAAGAGCAAATGAAAATATCTGGAGGAAGATAACATCATCCCTAGCTTCAAATAATTTCTATAAATAATGTTTCAAATACAATGTCCACCAATCAAAGATTACCAAGCACATGAGGACATATGCAGCATGAGGAAGAAACAGCAAAAACAACAGGCAACAGAAACATCCAAAAGGACATGTAATGAGGGAATGAGCAAATGTAGTCTACAAAACTATAGTTATTTTGTTCAAAGGCATAAAAATAAAGCTTGAAAATTTAGCAGACAATTGGAAACTATAAAAAGCAACATATAGGTTTTTTAATGAATATTCTATAATTTTAAAATAATGTCCACAAGAATTTAATAATTGAGTTTAGCTTCATATTAGGCCCAGTTCAAGAAAGATATAAATTGGAAAACAGATCTGAAGAAACTATGTAAAAAAGAAACAAGGAAAGTAAAAAATATAGAAGAAAAGTTAAGAAATACAGAAGATATAGTTAGAAAAGGGTACAATATACATTTACTTAGAATTCCAGAAGAAGACGGAAAATGAATTTGAATAGATAATGACTGAGAATTTTCAAAACATTGAAGAAAAACATCCATCCACAATTCAAGGTCAACAAATCCTGAGAAGAATAAATAAAAGGAAAAATACACCTAGCCAGAAGAGAGAAAAAGAAGGAGAAAAGATGTCTAAAAGCAGCTAGAGACAAGAGTTTCTTGCAAAGAAACAGTAAGATTATAATACGACTTCTCAACAGCAATAACGAAAGCCTAAAGACAATGGAACAAAATATTCAAAGTATAGAAAGCAAATTACTATCAACCTAAAGTTCTATATGCTGCAAAAATATCTTTCAAGACCACAGGTAAAATAAAAATATTTTTAGACAAACAAAAGCTGAGAGAATTTGCCTTCAGTCAATAACACACAGTAAGAGAAATATTAAATGGTGATCTTCAAAAATAACAATTAATCCCAGATAAAAAGTTGGAAATGCAAAAAGAAATGAACAGAAATGAAAATATGCTAAAAAGTGGGTAAATCTAGATGACCAGTAACTCTACTAAAACAATAATACTAATGTCTGTGGTGTTTAGAAATATTTATATAAAAGTAGCATTTAAGTTGCAGGGCATACATGGAACTAAAATAGTCTAAGGAACTGATATTATCTGTACTTCTAAGTTAAAGATGTACGTTGTAATTTCTAGTAAAAGTATATACATTTATTCCTTGGTATCCATGGAGGATTGGTTCCAGGACTCCCTGCAAATACCCAAAATCCATAGATGTTCAAAGCCTTACATAAAATGGTGTAGTATTTGTGTAAAACCTATGAATATCCTCCTGTATACTTTATCGCTAGATTACTTATAATACCTAATATAATATAAATACTATATAAATTGTTATACTGTACTTTTATAGAGAACAGTGACAAGCAAAAGAGTCAGTACAGATGCAACTATCCATTCTTTTTGTTTTTGTTTTTGTTTTTGTTTTTGAGATGGAGTCTTGCTCTATCGCCCAGGCTGGAGTGCAGTGGCACGATTTTGGCTCACTGCAACCTCCGCCTCCCAGGTTTAAGCGATTCGCCTGCCTCAGCCTCCCGAGTAGCTGGGATTACAGGCGCCAGCCACCACGCCCATCTAATTTTTTTGTATTTTAGTAGAGATGGGGTTTCACTATGTTAGCCAGGTTGGTCTCGAACTCCTGACCTCAGGTGATCCACCCACCTCAGCCTCCCAAAGTGCTGGGATTACAGGCGTAAGCCACCGCGCCCGGCCGCAACTGTCCATTTAAAAAAAAAAAATTTTTGTTCCACAGTTGATGAAATCCTTGGAGAAGGCTCAAATGTAGTTCCTAAACTAGAAAGGAAAAAATTAGATAAATTAAAAAAAACAAGATCAATACAAAAGAAAGTAAATATGGAGATTTAAAAAATATGTTTAAGAAATAGCACACAATAAGGTGAAAGATTTAAACCTAAATATATCGATAATTACATTAAATAAAAATGAAATAAATATTCCAGTTACAGGATAAAGATTTATAGACTGAATTTTAAAAAACTTAAGCGATTGTATCTAAAACATAAAGAAAAGAATGGTTCAATGTAAGAAGATGAAAAAGATAAACCACTTTAACCCTAACACCTCCTCTCCAAAGAAAACCTGCTGCGGCAATATTAGAAAAAACAGACTTTAAAGCCAAAACATTGCTAAAAATAAAGAGAATCACTTTATAATATCTGTACCAGGAATATATAATAATACCTAAGTTAAGTACACCTAATAACATACCCACAATACATATAATGCAAAACCGGACAAGAACTATAAAGAAAAATTGAAACAAATCCACAATCATAAGGGAAAGCTTTAACACCTTTAAGTAATTAACAGAACAAATGGACAAAAGGATGTTAAGTTAATATAGAGGATTTGAACAATAAGTTTAACACAAACTAGATATAAATTATATAGAACATTATACCAAACAAGGTGAGAATACACATGTCAAAAACACACAAATACACATGGAGAACAATTATAAAAATTGATTATACACTAAGTCTTAAAGGAAGTTTTGACAAATTTCAAAAATATTGACACTGATATCATACAGACCATATACTCTGATCATAATAAAATTAAACTTGAAATCATTAATAAAATATATCTATAAACATTTCATGACCAATAATGAAGAAAGACATATTTCTAAATAACCCACAAGTCAAAGAAATCACAATAGAAATAAAAAATGCTGGCTGGGCGCAGTGGCTCATGCCTGTAATCCTAACACTTTGGGAGGCTGAGGAGGGTGGATCATCTGAGGTCAGGAGTTTGAGACCAGCCTGACAAACATGGCGAAACCCCATCTCTACTAAAAATACAAAAAATTAGCCGGGTGTGGTGGTGGGCACCTGTAATCCCAGCTACTCGGGAGGCTGAGGCAGGAGAATCTTTTGAACCCAAGAGGCGGAGGTTGCAGTGAGCCAAGATTGCACCATTGCACTCCAGCCTGGGCAACAAGAGTGAAACTCCAACTTAAAAAAAAAAAAAAATGCTTTGACCTGAATGAAAAGAAAAATAATGCATATTTAAACCTACAGGCAGCCAAAGCAATACAAATTTATAGCTGTAACTGCATATATATATATTAGAAAAGAAAAAAGGTTGAAAATTAGTAGACTGAAAATCCATTGCAAGAAACTAGAAAATAGTAAAAACAATTGCAAAAAAAGTAGAAAGGAGAAAATAATAAAAATGTAAAAATAAATTTGATGAAACAGAAAAACAAACATAATACAATAGATTAACCAAGCCAAAACTAGATTTTTGGGAAGACTAATAAAATTGATAAACCTCATTGACAAATAATTTTAAAAAATAGAGAAGGCATAAATAACCAAAATCAGAAATGAAAAACGGCATTACTACTGATCTTGCAGAATTAAAAAATAAAATATTCTGAAAAAATGTATGCCAATAAATTAGAAAACTTAGATGAAATAAATTATTAGAAGACTATAACTTATCAAACTGACAAACAGAAACCAAAATAGTCATATAATTATTAAAGAAATTAAATGTATATTTTGAAGTCTCTCTTCCTCGCCACACAAAACCAAAACCAACTAAACAAACAAACAAAGAAAAAGCCCAGCCTGATAGTTTTACTGGCCAATTCTACCAAATATTTAAAGGAAATTACACAAATTCTTCAAAGGCACAGAAAAAGACCATCCTCTAACTCTTTATGATAGCACAACCTTGAAACGAAACTTAAGAAGATTAAGAATAAAGAAAAATTCAGACTAGTCTCACGCACTATAAACAAGATTTTAAAATCCTAAAGAAACACCAGCAATTTAAATCTAGCTTCATATAAAAGATAAAACAATAAAATATGGTCATGGATTGGAGGATTCAATATTGCAAAGATGTCACTTTTATTCAAATATAGAGATTCAGCTGGGTGCAGTGGCTCACGCCTGTAATCTCAGCACTTTGGGAGGCCAAGGTGGGCAGATCATTTGAGGTCAGGAGTTCGAGACCAGCCTGGCCAACATGGTGAAACCCCGTCTCTACTAAGAAATACAAAAATTTGCTGGGCGTGGTGGCGCACACCTGTAGTCCCAGCTACTTGGGAGGCTGAGGCAGGAGAATCGCTTGAACCCAGGAGGCAGAGGTTGCAGTGAGCCAAGATTGCGCCACTGCACTCCAGCCTGGGTGACAGAGTGAGACACCAACTCAAAAAAACAAAAACAGAAACAAAAATCAGCCGGGCGAGGTGGTATGCGCCTGTAGTCCCAGCTACTCGGGAGGCTGAGGCAGGAGAATCACTTGAATCCAGGAGGCGGAGCTTGCAGTGAGCAGAGATCGCGCCACTGCACTCCAGCCTGGGCAACAGACCGAGACTGCATCTCAAAACAAACAAACAAACAAACGAACAAACAAAAACAAATACAGGAATTCAATAAATTAAATAAATTTGCAAAAGGTTAATTGATACTTTGTTTTGTTTTGGTGAAACTTAATAAGCTGATTCTAAAATGTATATGAAAATGCACAGGGCTGAGACTATCCAAATCACTTGTGAAGAAGGAAGTAGGAGAACTTCCTCTATTAGATATCAAAACTCATTATAAAGCCATAGTAATTAAGAGAGTATGGCATTAGTGCAAGAAAAGACAAATACACAGTGAAACAGCCCAGAAACAACCCAAACATAAATGCACTTGACTTACGACAAAAGTAGCACTACAGAGCAATGATGGGAAAAAAAATGAAGTTTTCAAATCATTATGCCTAGTAATTTGGGTATCCTTATGAAAAAAAAATAAAGCTGGATATACCACTTCACGCCATATACAATAATCAACCAGATGGACTGTAGACTTAAATGTGAAAGGCAAAACAATAACACTTTTAAATAGAAGAATATCTTTGTAACCCTGGGTAGGAAAGATTTCTTAAACATGGCACAACTCTCGAGCCCAGGAGTTTGAGACAGCAGTGAGCTATGATTGCGCCACTGCACTCCAGCCTGGGTAACAAAAGGAGACCCCGTCTCTAAAAAATAAAAATAAAAGTAAACACGGCACAAAATCACTAACTATAAGATTGATAACCTTTAAATTAAATGAGCTTCTAGTCATCAAGAAACACCACTAAGACAGTGAAAAAGTAAACCACTGAGTGGCAGAAGATATCTGCAACACATATAACTGATAAAGGGGTCATAGGCAAAACATATGAAGAAGTCTTACAAATCAATATAAAAAAATACAAACAACCCACAGAAACTTAGGCAAGAACTCTAAATGGGCATGTCTCATAAACACATGAAAAATTAATCTCATGAATAATCAGGTAAATGTAAATTAAAACCACAATTAACTTACCCACCAGAACAGCTAAAATTAAAGTCTGACAATACTAAATATTGGTATTGGTAAGGATGTGGTGCCCACAGGATTGTACTCACTGCTGGAAGGAATGTAAAATTAACATTACTGTTTTGGAAAATAGCTTGGCATTACTTACTAAAGTTGAAAGTAAGTATGCTGAAGGAACCAACAATTCCTGTCCTAGGAATATACTCAACAGAAATATGTGCACATGTGTAAAAATATACAAGAATGTTAATAGCATTTATAATATAAACTGAACAACTCAAATGTCCATCCACAGAATGGAAACACTATGGTATGTTCATTAAATAGAATATATACAGCAATGAAAATGGATGAACTATTGTTATAGGCAAAAACACAGGTAAATGACAAGCCAGACACAAAAGATATCTTGTTTAATTCAATTTATATAATGTTCAAAAATAGGCTAAATTAAACTACAGTCTTAAGGACACACTTTGGCAGTAAAATTATACAGAAAAGGTACAAAGTATTTACCATATAAATCAAGATAGTGATTCTTTTTGCAGGGGAAAAGGTGGTTGTAATTGGGAAGAGGCTATGGGCTTCTAGGATACCAGCAACTATTTCTTGATCTGAGTAGTGATACATGAGTGTTCACAGTATAATAATTTATTTAGGTGTATATTTATATTTTAGGCATTTTTTAGAATACGTAAATTATATTTCACAATAAAAAGCTTAAATACTTTCAGAAAATACTACTACATTGACTTGTATGGTCAATTAACCTTAGGACAGAAACGAGGTTGAAGCATTTGGGTAGGGGTAAAACTGAGCAGGAATTTTATTGTGGAAGTATACTGGATAAGGATATTACTTAACATTCAACTGAACTGTAAAGTTTCTAAGAACGGGGATTGTGTCTAATTTCTTTGTCATATATCCTCAAGGCCACATTTGGTCCCTGGTATATGGTATGATTCAATCAATATGGTAAAAGAATGAATGCTTTCTTAATACTTTGCAAAAAGTGGCAAAGTAGTGGTCCAACAACATGCATCTCCAACTATCAAGAAACCAACTAAAATTCTTCCCTAGAAAAGTGTAGTCACTAGCATATGAAACATTCCATCTTTCATTAAGTGGAAGAAATAATGAAAAGAACTACTCCTTTGGAATTAATTCTGACATACAAGCATAAAATAGTGAAGTGGAAGTGAGACACATGAGAGAGAAACCATGATGCCATCTTGCAGTTTAGTTCACAAGAGTTAGAAGGAACACTAGGATTAGAGATTCTTTAGGAAAGATAATTTGATCAAGTTTAAAGAAAAAAGCTGTATGATGCCATAGCAGAAATCACACTGTAATAAAGTTTTTTGCAAAAGAGATAAAGTTTCTAAAAAGTAAAATTCTAGGCCGGGTGCGGTGGCTCACGCCTGTAATCCCGGCACTTTGGGAGGCTGAGTCAGGCGGACTGCCTGAGGTCAGGAGTTTGAGACCAGTCTGGACAACATGAAGAAACCCCGTCTCTACTAAAAATACAAGAAAATTAGCTGGGCATGGTGGTGTGCGCCTGTAATCCTAGCTACTTGGGAGGCTGAGGCAGGGGAATTGCTTGAAGCCGGGGGGTGGAGGTTGCAGTGAGCTGAGATCTGAGATCACGCCACTGCACTCCAGCCTGGGTGACAGAGTGGGACTCCATCTCAAAAAAAAAAAAAAAAAAAGTAAAATTCTACACTATACAAACAAGTTAATCTGACACTATAAAAACAATTAACCTCACACCTGTACTCCCAGCACCTTGGGAGGCCGACGCGGGCGGATCACTTGAAGGTCAGGAGTTTGAGACCAGCCTGGCCAACGTGGTAAAACCCCATCTTTATTAAAAATACAAAAATTATCCAGGCATGGTGGTGGGCACCTGTAATCCCAGCTACTTGGGAGGCTGAGGCAGGAGACTCACTTGAACCCGGGAGGTGGTGGTTGCAGTGAGCTGAGATCGTGCCACTGAACTCCAGCCTGGGCGACAAGAGCGAGACTGCCTCTCAAAAAATAAAAAACTAAAATAAGTTAATCTGATAAGAAAGAAAAGAAAGTGGCATCTAAAGAATCCAATATGGTTGTTGTGTAAGGTGTGCTATGATAAGTTCAGAATTTTAAGAGACTTGTAAAACAAAGAGAATCTTGTAAGTAAAGTTAGAGCCCAGAATGAGCGGAGGCTGATGAAAAAATGTTAAGAACAATAAAAAGGACTTAAAAAATACATGTAGAGTAAGAACAAGAAAGAAAGTTCAGGCCCACTGCTTGGGGCAGATGGTGCAGTGTTGGCAGATGATGCAGAGAGAGCAGAACTATGTAACTCCTATTTTGCTTTTGATTCTCTATTAAGGGGAAATATTCAAAATGAAAGGGGTGGAAGAAACATGCTCAAAGGAAATCTGAAACATAGTAAGGATCTAGGTAGGCTTCATGAAGGAGGGGAGACTTGTGCTGTCTCTGAAAAATAATAATGGGAAAATAGAACACACTAAATAGGAAGAACAGATTGGGAAAAGACTGAGGTAGGGTAGAAGCCTTCTAAATACTGTATTTCATCAATTTTAAAACACAGTATCTTGTCCACATTTTAACATCTCTAAAATTGGAAAGTATCTTAAAATAAATGGTAAAAAGCATTGTGCATAGTTAACTGGCAGTACTTTTTTCTTTCTTAGAGGTATACAAAATAATAGTGTGTCTTACAACTGACGATGTTTTAGATTTAATTTCCTCCCTGAGATTCTGTAGAACCTATGCCAATCAGAGTAGAGGTCAAGGATCCTAAATCCTGATTAATCAGCTCATAAGAACTTTAAGGCAAAATTTAACTCACAATAAACTAAAACAAGTTATATCCTAATAGCATTCATTTTGGAATCCACTCTTGTATCTTCTTTTCCATTCTCTATCTGGTTTTGCTTCTCCTTAATCGTTTCTTTTCTCCTAACCAGTCTACTATATTTGCTTCTCCACTCTCCTCCTCATTCCCTCTCTTTTCTATTGTTTCTCCCTTTTAAATCATCCCCCTTTTTAAAAATTAAAAAGTAGATAGCTCAAGTGTTCTATGTTTTTCCTAGTAAAATCATGAAAGTCACATCTCACATCTACAAATTCCATGGCTGATTTTATTTTTGTGCATCTGTGTGCTTACGGAACTGGGATAGCTTCTCCAAAGCCGTATCTTTCCAAATGTGGTCTGAGATCTACTGAATCAGAATCTCTAATGTGGATCCCAGAAATCTGTGACCTCAACAAGTTCTACATCATCACTATTATGAAGAAAAATCTCAGGCCGATAGCTTCCTTCCTTCTTCCCTCCCTCCCTCTTATCAGGTCCTTCCCTCCCTCCCTCCCTCCCTTCCTTCCTTCCAGACAAGGTCTCACACTGTCACCCAGGCTGGAGTGCAGTGGCATGATCATGGCTCACTGCAATCTCAATATCCCAGGCTCAAGAAATCCTCCCACCTCAGCCTCCCAAGCAGCTGGACTACAGGGCACACACCACCATGCCTGGCTAATTTTTTGGTATTTTTTGTAGAGACAGAGTTTCACCATGTTGCCCAAGCTGGTATTGAACTCATGAGCTCAGGCAATCCATCCACCTCGGCCTCCCAAAATGTTAGCATTATAGGCGTGAGCCACTGCGCCTGGCCTTTATCAAATTTCTATAAAAGCCAAGTTAATGTTCTTCAGTGAATTATTATAGTAGTAACAATTTCCAACTCTCATTTAGTTTCAAATTTTGATCACAAAATGTTTCTTAATCCTAATGTTTTCTTATCGTAGAAAAGAAAATTGTTAAGTATACTATATTTGCAGTTTCAAAACAATAATAGATGACTTCTGGTTCTGTCCAAGGTGAGCACTGTTCATTTAACAGAGCCCTGGAGAGGAGAGTGCAGCACAGGGAGAGAGAGCCCTGGAAATATGCAGAGGGATCAGTGATACATCGGTATTTAGAGGTCACTAAATACCAGAATTCAGCAAAGAACTGATCAGAACATGTATGTGAGGAAATTACCCAAAGCTGGCGAGGAAACCACCTGAAAAAGTTAGAGAGAACAGTACCCAGCACTCACTCAACACTGGAGACACTGCCTGTTGCCACCAGCCAAAATGGGAAAACTCTTAATTCACAGGGCATTGAGTAGTGCACTCAAAAAGGTTTTGCCCCCATGATGAGAAATAATTAGCCACAGACTGAGCAGCGCTATAGTTAAGCCTAATGAATCATAAGAGTAAGACCCTAAAGGATCAGTTTCCAAGCAACTTAACTACATTCCAGAACAAAGCTCATTGTTTTATATAAACATAAGATGTATAAAACATAAAAATATCCAGCACCTACCAAAGTAAAAGAGACCCAATCAAATATCACTAGACACAAAGAAACAAGAAAACATCACCCATAATGAAGAAAATAATCACTGAACTGAAATTGACCTAGAATTGCCATAGATATAAGCATTAGTAGAAAAAGATATAAAAATAGCTATTACAATTGTATTTCATGTGTTCAAAAAGTTAATTAGAGACACAGAAGATATAAAAAAGACTCAAATCAAAATTCTGGAGGGGAAAACTACAATATGTGAGTGAGATAAAGAATACATTGAATAGATTAATGGCAGACTAGACACTGCTGTTAAGACTAATAAACATAAAGGCATGGCAATAGACACTATCCAAAATAAAACACACAGATAAAACAATCAAAAAGAATTAAAAGAGCATCAGTGAGCTATCACATAACTTTAAGCAACCTAACATATGTGTAATTGGAGCCCTTGAAGGAGAAGAGAAGGGAGGGGACAGAAAAATATATGAATAATGGCCAAAAAGTGCCCATATTTGATGCAAACGATAAGTCCAGAGGTCCAAGAAGCTCAATAAATTCAAAGCACAAGACAGGAAGAAAATGCCACCAAAGCCTATCATAATCAAAGTGCCCAAAACCAGAGATTAAAGGAAAATCATAAAAGAAGCGAGAGAAATGAGACACATTACATACAAAGGAACAATGATAAGAATTAAGCAGATTTCTCATCAGAAACAATGCAAGTGAGAAGACAGCTGAACATCTTTAAAGTACTGAAAGAAAAAAGTCAATGTATATACAGCAAAATTTCTTTTAAAAACAATGGCGAAATAAAAACTTTTCAGATATACAAAAACTCAAAGTATTCGTCACAGCAGAATCACACTCCCAGAAATGTTAAAGGAAATCTTTCCAGCAAAAGGAAAACCACACCAGATGGAAATATGGATCTACATAAGGGCATTAAGCACACTAAAAATGGAAATGACACCAGTACATATATAAGATTTTTTTCTTTAATATCTAAATCACTTAAAAAATAAATGCCTATTTAAATATTATGAAGTATATGATGTATAAAAGTTAAATATATGAGAACAACAGCATATAGGCTGGTAGAGGAGAAATATAGGTGTATTGTTAAGTTTCTTAAACATATGTGAAATAGAATAATACCACTTGCAAATAAACTGTGATAAGATGTACACTAAAGACCCTAAAGGAACCACTAAAAGAGGTATTAGCTAGCAAGGCAAGGAGATAAAATGGAATAAAAAATTCATGAAAGAAGGAAAAAAGCCATAAGCAGTTATAACATTTAGTTATAAAATCAAAGAGAACAAGAGAAGTTGTTTTTAATTTATTAAAATTCAAAATTCAAAAGAAAACAGAAACATCATTAATCATTAAGCAAATGAAGGTTAAACTCATGAGATACCATTACAGACTTAATTAGAAGGGTGAAAATTTAAAAGGCTGACTATATCAACTGTTTGCAAGGACAATGGAGGAACTGGTGGGAATATAAAACGATACAATCATTTTGGAAAACAACTTGGCAGTTTCCTAAAAAACAACTACTATATGTTCCAGCCATTCCACTCCTAACTATTTACCCACAATAAATGAAATCCTTTGTCCACACAAATACCTGTACCCAAATGTTCATAGCAGCTTTATTAGTAATAGCCAAACAGTGGTATAGTGGTATAGCCATACAATAGAATACTATTCAATAATAAAAAGGAATTAAACACTGACAGACATTACAACATAAATGAATTTCAAAGTATTTATGCAGAGTGGAAGAAGCTCAGAGCCTTCCAAAAGCTGCCTACTAACTCTAAGTTACCATATCCTGCAAGGCTCTCCATGATCTGACCCTCTGATCTCTTTGACTTCATCTCCTGTACTCTCCTTGCTCACACTAGCCACACTGACCTCCTTACTGTTCCTTACTATTTCTTGACTATGCCACATCCTCTCACCTCAGAGTCGTCCCTCTGCCTGGAAAATTCTATTCCCCATGGTTTATGCCTTCACTTCCTTTAGATCTCTGCTCAAATGTCATCAGAAGCCTTCCACAAACACCATTTATTTAAAAGAACACTCAACACCTTCTGTGATTCTTTGTTGCCTTTAACCTGCTTTACTTTTCTTCATGGCACTTATAATCATCTAACATATTACATGTTTGTTTACTTTAAAAAAATCTCTCTCTGCTCTCTCCACTTGCCACCGCCACAGATGTATGCCCAGTGTCTAGAAGAGTATCTAGAACACAGCAAATGTTCAAATGCTTCTGCTTTTCTAATAATCAGGTCAGAAAAGCAGGTATTGTACCAAATTCTGAAAATTTTCAGAAATATCCAGCAGTTAATCAAGGGGTCTATAATCACTGACATAAGTTTTTAAAAAAGAACATATATCAACTTAACAAGCTTTGCAGTGTACAGATAGTAAACTGTAAACTATAGCTACACTTTTTCTTTTTTTTTTTTTTTTTTTGAGATGGAGTGTCGCTCTGTCACCCAGGCTGGAGTACAGTGGTGTGATCTCGGCTCACTGCAAGCTCCTCCTCCTGGGTTCACGCCATTCTCCTGCCTCAGCCTCCCGAGTAGCTGGGACTACAGGTGCCCACCACCACATCCGGCTAATTTTTTGTATTTTTAGTAGAGACGGGGTTTCACTGTGTTAGCCAGGATGGTCTCGATCTCCTGACCTCGTGATCTGCCCGCTTCAGCTTTCCAAAGTGCTGGGATTACAGGTGTGAGCCACTGCGCCCAGCCTACACTTTTAATAAATTAAAAACAACTTCTCTCTTTTGTTCTCTTTGGTTTTATAACTAAATGTTATAAGTACTTATGGCTTTTTTCCTTCTTTCAGTAATGTCCCAAAACTTCTGTCTAAAGATTAAAAAAAATTCAAATATATACTTATCTATACTGATAATTGTAAAAAGTAATTATTTTAAGTTAATTGAAAATTCTGAAAAATGGCTAATTATGTATTTAATGATTAAGAGTGGCTATGCATATATTTGCATTTTTAAAATATTGATTTAAGGATTCTTAATGTGTTTTTACAACATGTAATTTTGAGAACAAATTGTGTACAGCAGAAAACATTTGGTATCATAATAATTAATCTGATTTCTTTACAAACACAGAGCAGAAGTCCACTGGTAAACATTTAAATAACTTAGAGTAAACACATTCTAGACAGCATATAATTTATTGCTAAGGGCTCCAGAGTCATAGCTATTTAATTAAAATAAATCTGGACTATTCTTTCATTACCTAACTACTATACTTAAGGCACTGATACTAATATAATGACTTCTCACTTATTTCAACATCAAAAGTCACCAGAAAGAATATATATAGCTTAACAAGTATTAACTAAGCCACCAAAAAGAGTAAAAATCAATAGAGAAAAAGGTCTCCATTTATTTAACAAATATCTAATGAGCATCTTATACAGGTATTAAGTGTAGCACTCGAATCCCTATCCACCTGAATTATTATTCAAAATGTTTCCAGATTAAACTAAAAACACTAGAATACAACACTGGAATGGGTTCTCATTAAAGATTCTTATGAAGTGCCAACTAAGAGCACTGACACTATGCCAGATAAACTGGTTTCCTACTACTTCTTAGACAAACACTAAATCTCTTCAGCTTTCTGGTATCTGAAAAATGAGGATAATACCCCCTTATCCAGCATCCAGATAGCAGGTACTATATCATTTATTGGTCTCTATAATGCAATTGTCAATTAATCATATTCTGACTTACATTAACTTTTACTAAGGTTTTAAACTATTGTTTAAATACTTAATTTAACTTTTTGTGAATTCCTGTCTATGTAAGTTCCTTCAAGGTAGAAACTGTGATGTACTTTTCAGAATCCTCTATTATCAATTAGTATTGTTACTAAATATTAAGTATTTGGGAAGAAGAGCTGAGGAAGATGAAGCTTTGTAAAATATTCCTTTTATACTTTTGTATGGTAAGTGACAAAAATGGGGAAAATAATGCAATTACAATGTGTTTTAAATTAAACTAGCAAGTCAACAAATAAGCAGCTTTACTTCTGCCCAGATTCAAGAGAAGGGAAATTAGACTCCACCTATTGGTGGGGGAGTAGCAAGGTCATAATGTAGAAGGCCATGTGGGATGGGGGATATTTTTGTGGGTATCTTTAGAAAGTACAATGTACCACAACCTGTACGCAAAAAACTATAAAGATCCCCAAATATTAAAGAAGATAAATACAAATGCAAGAATATCCCATATTCACAGGCAGGAAAACTAGATATTGTAAAGATGTCAATTTTCTCTACCAATGCAACTCCCAACTTCCCAACAAGACTGTGTATGGACTTTGAAAAGCTGATTCTGAATTTCATATGGAGGACTAAAGAGCCAAGTATAGCCAAAACACTCCTGAAAAGGAAGGATACTGTGGAAGTATTGTACAATCAGATATCAAGCTTTATCTTAAAACTGTCATAATTAAGACAGTGTGTGGAATTTGGTGCAGAAATAGACTGACAAATGGAATAGAATATAAAGATCAGAGACATATGGAGTTACATGCATCTTTGGAATTACAATGTGCTTCAGAAGTAGCACCACAGAAATCAGGTAATAGTGTAACACACAAGTGATTTTCAAGATGGAATAAAATAAAATTTTATTGATGTCTACCTCATACCACCAATTCCAGATGGATTAAAGACTTGAATGTTAAAAGCAAAATATTTAAAACACTCAGTTAAATATATAAAGAAATATCTTCTTGAATCCTCCAAGAGAGGATTTCTTGAACAAGCCGCCAAAGTAGGAACCATAAAAGATTGATAATTTAAACTACATTTAAATTAAGAACTTATTTTTATCAAGATACCATAATGAATGTGACAATATAGCTCTTACTACGTAAATCTAATGATGATAAATCTAGAAAATCTGTTATAATTGTTGATGAGGTTATTTGTCCCAAAATAACTTTTACACTAACTAGCAAAGTAGAAATCTATACACAAAATTCAGAGCAGATATGAGTAAAACTCACCAAATACCTACATCTAACAATAGCTTCAATCTTACTACTCTAATGGCACCCATAAATCTTTTATGCCAGATGGAGGTCAATACGGTAAATATATACGCAAATTTTAAAAATCAGTAAACAAATACTTTGATCATAGCCAATGTCTCAACCAAATCATGTGATTTTTAAATGATAGATTAAACAGTGAAGATTGTAAGAAATCTAAGTCATAATAATCTCATTAAATCATTAACATGCTGAGTACCATTCAATAGACACCAAATCTTGCTGGGCACCAGGTGCTGCAGAATATACAAATAGTGGAGACATAGTCTCTGCTTGTTAGACCTATCATCTAATTAGCAAGCAGTAAATACAGCTATAGAGAGATAAGTCAAATTTCCATCTAAATCTCAAATCAATCTGTTTTCCTTCATCTCCATTATCTCTAAGCTACTAACATCTTTTTCTTGGACCTCTGTAACCCTTCCTAATGATCTCTTGAATTCATTTCATTCTATCACAATTTAATCACTATACTGCAGCTATAATAACCTTTCTGAATTCAAGAGGACCACAGATGTATTCTTTGGAGCAACTGACTCTAGATTCAGAAACACCAGGTACAGGGCTAAAAAGCCTGTACTGAATAAAGCCCAAAAGTCTTTATCTAATCTGCCTCTATAACTTTGTAAGATAAGCACCTACCTGCCGTAGGGGGAAAATGAGAATTCTTCTTCAGAAAACTAAATAAGAACAACCTCCAGATACTGATATTTGGAGGTATCCCTAAGGAAAACGCCAGCTTGCCCAAGCATCCTTAAGTGAAGTCCACCAGAAGACAAGCAATCTACTTTTTAATATTTCAGAAAAACAAACAAAAAAACCTATTACACCCATAGACAAAATGCTATCAAGAAAGGAAAAGAGAACAAGAAAAAGCTCTTGTAAACTAAATATCATAATAGCAGAAAAAAAGAATTCAAAGGAAAAAGGTAAAGAGAAACCTGAGGAAATCTTTTAGAAAACAGAGCGAAAATCAGACAAGCAACCCAAGAGTTCCAACATCCAATAGAACAGGGACTGCCAAATTTTTTCTACAAAGAACCAGACAGTAAATAGCTCAAGCTTTGTAGGCCATACAGTCTCTGTTGCAACTACTTAACTCTGCTGTTACCGTGTGAAAGCAGCCAAAGAAATGTGTAAGCAAATGGGATAGACAGAGGCCAGACATAGCCTCTGAATCAGTTTGCGGACCTTTAGAATTAAAGAAAAAAAAAAAAAGAGCAAAATGAGAAAACACAGAAGAATAAATGACCAAAGAAAAATCTAAGAAAATTACCCAGAACTAAAGCACATGAATTTTTAGAAAGAAACAGTCCAACACAATGACATCATCATCAAATTTCAGAATACCAGGGATGAACTAATCACAAAAGCTCCCAAAGAGGGAAAAAACAAAAAAACAAAACCAGGTCCTGTACAAAGACTGGAAAATCAGCTGGGCGCAGTAGCTCACGCCTGTAATCCCAGCACTTTGGAAGGCTGAGGTGGGCAGATCACAAGGTCAAGAGATTGAGACCATTCTGGCCAACATGGTGAAACCCCGTTTCTACTAAAAATACAAAAATTAGCTGGGCATGGTGGCACGCATCTGTAGTCCCAGCTACTCAGGAGGCTGAGGCAGGAGAATCGCTTGAAACCGGGAGGTGGAGATTGCAGTGAGCCAAGATTGCATCACTCACTGCACTCCAGCCTGGGCGAAAGAGCGAGACTCCATCTCAAAAAACGAAAAACAAAACAAAACAAAACAAAAGACTGGGAAATTATATGATACTAGCTTTTTAAAGTATAACACAAAGAAGATAGAAAGCCTTCAATATTGAAAGAGAATTCCAACTAGAATTCTATATCTAGTGAAACTAGCAATCACATGTCAGGAGAGAATAAAGGCATTTTTTAGAAATACAATTACTTATATTTATCTCCAAGGTACCCTTAATTAGAGGGCTACTGCAAGATTACTCCAATAAAACAACAGAATAAAGCAAAAATGAGGAAGGCATAATACCTAGGAAAATAGAGATGTAAACACAGAAAAGCAGCTAAGGAAAGTCCCAGAACAGGAGCTGCACAACAAGCCTAGAAAGTTCACATAGGAAGTAGGGGAAGAAGAGTTCAGAAGAACATCTTTAAAATAAAGAATGGAAAAGCCGGGTGCAGTGGCTCACGCCTGTAATCCCAGCACTTTGGGAGGCTGAGGCGGGTGGACCACGAGCTCAGGAGATCGAGATCATCCTGGCTAACATTGTGAAACCCCATCTCTACTAAAAATACAAAAAATTAGCTGGGCGTGGTGGTGGGCGCCTGTAGTCCCAGCTACTCGGGAGGCTGAGGCAGGAGAATGGCGTGAACCCAGGAGGAGGAGCTTGCAGTGAGCCGAGATTGAGCCACTGCACTCCAGCCTGGGCGACAGAGGGCGACTCTGTCTCAAAAAAATGAAATGAAATAAAATAAAATAAATAAAGAATGGAACTGACATATTTGAGCATATAAGAAATATTACTGGCCAGGTGCGATGACTCATGCCTGTAATCCCAGCACTATGGGAGGCCAAGGCAGGCGGATCACAAGGTCAAAAGTTTGACACCAGTCTGGCCAATATGGTGAAACCCTATCTCAACTAAAAATACAAAAATTAGTCAGGCGTGGTGGTGGGTGCCTGTAGTCCCAGCTACTTGGGAGGCTGAGGCAGGAGAATTGCTTGAACCCGGGAGGTGGAGGTTGCAGTGAGCCGAGATTGCAACAGTGCACTCCAGCCTGGGCAACAGAGTGAGACTCTGTTGCAAAAAAAAAAAAAAAAAAAAGAAAAGAAAAAGAAATATTACTGACAGCATGTGACAGAGATATGGAGCATTTAGAGAAAATTAACCACAAGATACACAGAAAGCCAGACAACTAAAAAATGAGGTAATTATTAACTTTTTAAAAAGTAAAAGTTAGTACTGTATTTCACTATTTGACTCAGCAGAAAACAATATCTCCATAATCAATATAATGAGTTTATATTATATTAATTTAACCAAAAATTGTAATATATGTAATTATATGGGGGAAGGGAAGTAGGAGAGCAAGGTAGGAACCTAGAGCTCCACCTACCATAAGAAAAAAAAAATCTAAACCTGATTAATCAAGAAATATCAGTCTACACATTATTTAGTAATATAGGTAAATTTCAGGGAGAAAGGCCAAAAGGATTAAGAATGGTTTCTTCCAAGTAGGAGGACTTGTAGGTGGAGAATATAGGATATTATAAGCCCTCTATTTGTATTTGGCTTTTAAAACCATGTAAATATATTATTTTTAAAAATTATGTTAAAATAATTAAAATGTATTTTTAAAAAGCAAATAACTAGCAAAGAATATTTGCAATACTAATTGTAGACAGAAGATCAGTATCTTTCAAATTATAAGGAGCTCTCACAAAAGACATCAACATAATATAAGATATACAAATATATTAACAGGCAATTAACAAAAAAAAAAAAAATTACTGCCCAGGCAATGTGAAAAAAAGTTCACCCTTCAAAGTATTTACAAATCCAGATTAGAACAACGAAGTGGCACAATTTTAACCTATCAATTAGCAAAAATTTAAGAAATGGGTAATACCAATGTTAAAGGATTTTACAAAATGTATTGCTTGTGAGAGTATAAGTCTGTGTATCATTTCTGGAGGAAAATTTGGTAACAAAACAAAACTTTGAAAATATGTATGGCATGTGATTCAGCAATTTCTGCTAAAAATGTATCCTCAAGTAAATAGTAACAAATGTGTATAAAAGGGTTCAGCTGCAAAGGTAATATTTTAGCAAAATTGTCTTAAGACTGTCTTTTTCATACTGATTTAGCAGAAAAAATATAATAGCCTTACCTGAACTGTACGTCCTGCATTGATATGCTCTTCATGCAACTTGTCCCAGATTCTGCACCTTTGATACTATATAAAAGAAAGAAGGGAGGTATTAAATTTTTCATCACTAAAGGGTTATTTCCCATTACCACAAAAATCCCCACTCACCCACCCAAACTTAAACATACTATCTAGAGAAGAGAGTGATTTAGTAGTGGTAATTAACTTTCCAAACACATACAAGTAGGAAATTATTAAGAATGTTGCATACAAAATTACGGAAATTATAAAATAAACCAAAAAAACCCCACTAAGCAGGTTATTTTATTTTACTGAAAAAGAGTATGTATTTTGTCTATGTTGCAAACTCTCTGGAGATGGAAAATATAAAGAATTAGAATGTAAAATAATATAAAAAATGAAAAGAACAGTGTTCATAAGATATTCTTATTGTATATGAAGAATTGTACGTTTGTCATGATAGTGTTAAGTATTGAAAACTAAAATCTGAATTTAAAAAAAATAACACTGAAACCACAGACTAGAGAGTAAATAAAAAATGAGACTGCACTTTTAATATATATGTTTTAATTTTTACCAAGGCAACTGTTAGCTTTCAGAGTATCATCCAAAAAGAATTAGGAACAGAATCATGGGAATTTTTTCATTTGATAGGAACCATAGGAATATGTGATATTATAGCAGAATATTTATATAGAATATAAACATCAACACCAAATATCATATGTTATTTTTATTGGAAATTAAAAAATCAAATAATTAAAATGTTAGCAGATGTGAATAGTTACATTAAACACATTTTTGATACTTTACACATTCCCAAAACATCAACTTAGAAATAATTTGAAAGGATAGAAACATAAAAATTCCCTCATATATGCATAGAAAAC
This sequence comes from Homo sapiens, assembly GCF_000001405.40. Taxonomy (NCBI): domain Eukaryota; kingdom Metazoa; phylum Chordata; class Mammalia; order Primates; family Hominidae; genus Homo; species Homo sapiens. Next base: position 99,927,953 of record NC_000009.12, on the reverse strand, counting down.
ATACATTATAAGAGTAGAGCATTAAAAAAAATTTCTAGGGCATTTTTATATTCCTCGTTCTGCACATTCTTAAAATTTGGTAAAGAATGATGTAGCAAAAACTTCTTTTGATACTCCTAAAATTTTTACATAATCTAAGAACTAAACAATAACTATTAAGCTTAAAACAATTAGACCGGCCAGGCGCGGTGGCTCATGCCCATAATCCCAGCACTTTGGGAGGCTGGGGCAGGTGGATCACCTGAGGTCAGATGTTTGAGACCAGCCTGGCCAACATGGTGAAACCCCGTCTCTACTAAAAGTACAAAAAAATTATCTGGGCATGATGGCAGGTGCCTGTAATCCCAGCTACTTGTGAGGCAGAGGCAGGAGATCGCTTGAACCTGGGAGGTGGAGGTTGCAGTGAGCCAAGATCGTGCCACACTGCACTCCAGCCTGGGCAACAGAGTGAGACTCCTTCTCAAAAAATAAATAAATAAATAAAAATATTTTAAAAAATTAGACCATATTGAAAATGTATTTACCAAACATAAATTTAAAACCATTACCAAACCACTTTCATTTATAAGAAAAATTTAATTGATGCCATCAGATCCAGTGTGAAAGCTCTTTTAGGCAGTGTTATAACAGTAATAAAAGTTTGAGAAAGGAAGCCAGAGATTCATGTTTGAAAATAAACCACTTTTAAATTAATTGCCCACTACTAACCTGTTGCGATATTTTAAGAAAAATTAACACTAAGGAAACAGAGTTGAGAATGTGTAGATGCCAAGGCTATCAGAATTCATGGATCAGAGAATACCAGAGAGGAGAAGGCTGCATGGTGAAGGGCTAGTTGCACTGAGAGGAGAGGAATACACTGAGAGAGAACTCCAGAGATCTGCAGGGTTTTCCTTTTGAGTCTTCAACAAAGGACTCCTCCACACATGCATGTGAGGGAACAACCCGTGGTCAGAAAAAGAACAGGTAGAATAATTCCTGAAGATCACCCAAGGCTAGAAATGGTACATGTGACCACAAGTCAGAGTGGAAAAACCTTGGAATACACTGAGTATCAGGTAGAATACTCCAAAGTATTGCTCTCTGTAGGAAAAAATTAGCCCTGAACTAAAGGCTGTTCTGGTCCTAAGCAAGAAAGGTTAAAAGAAAGACTCAAGGCTGGGCGCAGTGGCTCACGCCTGTAATCCCAGCACTTTGGGAGGCTGAAGCGGGCGGATCACAAGGTCAGGATATCAAGACCATCCTGGCTAATATGGTGAAACCCCGTCTCTACTAAAAATACAAAAAAATTAGCCGGGTGTGGTGACAGGCACCTGTAGTCCCAGCTACTCAGGAGGCTGAGGCAGGAGAATGGCAGGAACCTAGGAGGCAGAGCTTGCAGTGAGCCCAGATTATGTCACTGCACTCCAGCCTGGGCAACAGAGCAAGACTCTGTCAAAAAAAAAAAAGAAAGACTCAAAAGGATCAAACTGTTCCCAACGAAACTGTGTTTCAGAATAAAGCTAAAAAATATTTAAATAAATTAAAAAATATTCAGTACCCAATAAAGTAAATTTCACAATGTCTGGTATCCAAAAGATAATTGCCATGCATGCAAAAAAGCAGAATAACATGATCTGCAATGAGAAAAACCAATCAACAGAAATAGACCCAGATATGATAGGGATAATGGAATTAATAAATGAGGATATTAAAAACAGTTATTATGATATGTTCCATGTATTTAAGAAGGTAGAAGAAAATATAAGCACATTAGAAGAAAAGCCATATAAGATATTTTAAAATATTAAATTAATAGAATTTAAAAAAAGAGTACCTGAAATTAAAAAATGCACTAGATGGGATTAATAGCAGATAAGACAATGCAGAAGAAAAGATTAGTAAACCTAAGGACACAGCAATAGAAACTATCCAAAATGAAACACACAGAGAAAAATAAGTTGAAAATAAATTAACCAAGATCAATAGTCATGGGCCAAATGAAAACAACATAAAATACATGTAACTGGACTCCATGAGAGAAAAATAATTTGAAAAACTTAACGCCAAAGATTTTCTACATTTGAGAAAAATGAGAAAACCATAGATCCAAGAAGCTCAAAGGACAAGAAAAATGAAGAAAGCTATACTAATGCACATTACAGTAAAATTACTTAAAATAAATAAAGAAAAACATCTTAAAAACGGGAAGAAAAAAGACACATGAAATACGAAGAAACAAAGATAAGAATGACAGAAGACTTCTTGTGAGAAACAATCCAAGCCAGAAGACAGTGGGACAACATCTTGGAAGTATTCGAAAATGACAGAAAATGCAACCTAGAATTCTATCCCCAGAGAAAGTTGTTTTTTAAATAAGGCAAAATAAAGATATTTTTAAACATTAAAAAGCTGATAGAATCCATCACCAGCAGAAAGGTGTGCTAGAAGGAATGTTTAAAAAGTACTTCAAGTTGATAGAAAGGGGATACCTGACAGAAACCGGATTCTACACAAATGAACGAAGAGCACTGAAAATGGCACATACGGATACATATGTAAATATAAATATTTTTCCTTATTTTTACAATCTCTTTGAAAAATAACACAATTTAAAGCAAAAATAACAAAAACAAATGGGGCTGATAATGTATGCAGAAGTAAAATGTATAGCAACCACAGCAAAAAGACCCTAAGAGAGGACCTAGAAGTATACTGTTAGAAGGTTCTTATATGTGAAGTGAAATATATAACATTACTTGAAAATAGACTGTGATGTTAAAGATGTATACTCTGAACCATAAAGCAACCACTAAAAAAATAAAAAATAAAAAACCAAGAGCTATAGTAAGCCAGCAAAAGGAAAAAAATTGAATCATAAAAAATATTTGATTAATCCAAAAGAAAGAGGGAAAAGAGAACAGATGGACAAATAGACAAAAATAGCAAGACGGTAGATTTAAAGATAATCATTTGACAAAAACTGAACATTTATTCATTATAAAAACTCTCAGCAAACTAAAAAATAGAAGTTAACTTCCTCAACCTGACAGCAGGAATCTACAAAAACCCTACATTTAACACCATACTTAAGTGGTGAAAGACCATTCTCTAATATTGGGAAGAAGGTAAGGATGTCTGATCTCACCATTCTTACTCAACTTCATACTGGAGGCCCTAGCCAGGGCAATAAGGTTAAAAAAGGAAGGAAGGATGAAAGAAGGGAGAGAGGGTGGGTGGGGCAAAGGCTAGAAAAAAATAAAATTGTCTTCACAGATTACATGATTGTCTACATAGAAAATATCAAAGAATCTACAGAAAGCTACATAATATTAAAAGGTGGCCCAATGATTGCAGGCCATAAACTGAGAATTACTTGTATCATGAAGATAAATAATATCTACCCCATAGGGTAGGTAAGAGTAACTCAACTCACTATGCTTACCAAATATCAAAAATACAAAACCAACAACACAAAGAATATATCTCAGGAATGTTCTGAATCTAATGCATTAGAAACTATTAACTGATGGTGTCCGTGATATTATGATTATATAAATATTACATATATATAATATATATACATTGGTCTTTGTCCACAGTTCCTTGATCATAACTCCCATGGCCCACGTGGGACACATGACAGACACATGTCTTTTGTTACAATGCTGGGGCACTTTCAGTGTCCAAAGTAGACCTCAGGAAACAGAATCTCTCTCTGACCTCCTGCCCTCCGAACCTGCCAATGGCGGGACTCTAAACTGATTGTGGGTCATAAGACACTCATTCCAGAGGGGGTCCTGCCCCATACCCTGGAGGAAGAAATGTTACATGGAGAGGCCAATAAGAATCTGAACAGACAGGCCTTGTTGGGTTTCTCCACTCAGTCTGTTAGTATTAGATCATACCCTTTTTGTCCAATCACATTTTGACATGGTTGTCTATGCTTCCATCATGCCTATCCAATAAAGTCTCCATAAGAGGTACAAGAGGACAGAATTTAGAGAGCTTCCAGAGAGATGATCACATGGAGGTTCCTGAAGGGTGGTGTCTCCAGGGAGGACATGGAAGCTCTGCACCCATTCCCTCATACCTCACCTTATGCATCTCTTCAGCTGTATCCCTTGTAATATCCTTTATAAAGAACTGGTAAATTGTCTCCCTGAGTTCTGTGAGCCATCCCAGCAAATTAATCAAGCCCAAAAAGGGATCGTGGGAACTCCAACTTGAAGCTGGTTGTTTAGAAGTTCCAAGGGCCTGGACTTGTGACTGGTGGGAGGGAAGGGTGTGGTCTTGTGGGACTTGACTCTCAAACTGTGGTTTCTGAGGCTATCTCTAGGTAGACAGCACCAGAATTGAATTCAACTAGAAGATACCTAAGCTAGGGTCTGTTGAACTGATTGCTTGCTTGAAATATGGGGAGAAACTCACACACATTTGGTCACAGAAGTCTTCTGTGTTGGTGACTGTTGTTGTTGAGTGAGAGTATAAGAGAAAACATGTTGTGTGTTGATTTTTCCATTCACAGTGCCTATGCTGAATGCCTGGGTAACCTAACTTACTTGCTATATTCTCCACTTCCAAGTATCAACCTTGCATGCAGGTTTTTTTCATATAATATCTTAATCTTCACAATAATCTTATGAGGAAGATTATAATTTTACTATTACAACTGTCTAATATCATAGACATTTGCAGCTTTCCCATGAATTATTAAAATGTGAATGTTCAAGTACTACGCTCACTACCTGGTGAAATCATTTGTACATCAAACCCCAGCAACACACAATTTACCCATGTGATATTCCTGCCCATATACTCCCTGAACCTAAAATAAAAGTTGGAAGAAAAAAAAGAGAGGAAAGGAAAGAGAGAAAAGAAATAGAAGATGAAGGAGGAGGAAAAGGAGGACATAGAAAAGGGAATAAAAAAGTGTTGTAAAAAAAAAATTGGTTCTACAGGTTTTGAGAGGTTTATTTGTCAATGTCACTTGAAAAGTTCCACCAGGGGACAGGAACAATTTTCTTCATCTTTTTAAAATTCAGATGAGTTTATTCATCAGTGTTTATACTGCTTCCACTGCCCAGACCTTGGGAAGAACAACTTTTGGCTTGTGTGACACACACCACACCATGGCCCTCCAGGTTTGGAGATGGAGCACTCAGTCTAATTTTAGCAGTAAGATTAGACTAGTGAATGATAGTCCCACTTCTCCCTTCTTCAAAAGCATAGATGGGGAAGACCTTCCTTAAGCTGAGTGATTCCATCTTGCCCACCCCTTGCTGCCCCTGGAATGGGGCTCTGCAAGTTGCTGTCTCCACAGGGCTTAGGTCCTGATAAGAGGCCAACTGTGAGACAGTGGCATTTAGGACTACACATGTGGGACACATGACAGACACAGAGGATGACTTGACAGAGATATCTTCAGCTTCCTTCCTGTCTTCTTGATGTTCTCGTTCAGCAAGAATATACCCTTCTAGGTTGTTATAGTTTGACAGTAGATAAGGACAATTTTAGTTAGTTCAATCAATATCCATTGAGCACGTACTATGTGACAGGCATTGGAAATACAGATAGGCGTTGGGGAAAATGTCAAAGTCCTTGCCTCCTTCAGTCTACAGTCAGGAAGGCAGTAAACATCCCTCATTTGCAAAATATTTTCTACCCCTCCACTCTCACCAAATATGGTCACATCTTCCAATACACAGACTGACTCCTGTCCCCTTTGGGTAAATAAAAAAAGGAAATCTTTGATGACCAGGAGATAAATAATCTGAAAGGCAAAACAAAAACAACAAACATGTTAATGTTAAATCTATGAACCTTAAGGTCTGTGGCCCAGTACTGTGTAAGGGTGGTGTGTTTATATCTGACTGGGGATGGTATCATCAGGACGTGCTGAGTAGGAAGTAACTGAGCTATGCAATAAACAGTGTCTGAAAGGTGACAAATGATAGGGTGGATATTGTCAATGGATGTAAAAGAGAAAGCAAAACTATTCAACTCCATATTTTTTCCACCTTCCTTCTTTACTGAGGAAAATGATCTTCAAAATACAAAAATCTAAAATAAAATGATTAAGAGGAAAATAAAAACAAAGGAAGATTAAGAACAAACCTAGATACTTCAGATGAGTTCAAGTCAACAGGCCCAGGGAAATTACACTCGAGAGAACCAAAAGACCTTGCAAATGTGATCACAGAAATATCTCTGCTTATCTATGAAGAACTGCAAAGAATTGGTAAGGTTCCTAAAGACTTGCAAATATTGACCCAATTTTCACAAAAGAAAGTATATTTAAAACACTGCAGGCTGTAAATCTTAATGTGAATCCTGGGGAAAATTCCATACTAGATAATTAGTGAGATGGTTTGGGAGAGCGTGTGGAAATGGTGACAGTATACCAGTGTGCTCTGGCCCTTTCCTGTCCAACATTTTCATCAATGACTTCAAAACAAAGAATGCATAATTATCAAATTTGCACATAACATAAATTAGAAGGATTAACATAGATGAAAGGTCACAATTCCATATAATAACAAATATAACAATGATAACTGTAAAGTCCAGCATTTAAATTAAAAAGAGCAATTGCACCAGTATAAGAAATAGGTGTGATCTGATTCAATACATGTAATTCATATAAAAAAAAGTCTTATGGAATTCATTTAATTGATTACAAAGTCAATTTAAAAAGCTGTCAGTATAGAGTGGCTTCTAAAATGATGTAATCTTAGGCTCTATACATGTATATTCATTCATTCAACACACTTTTTTTCAGAAGCACACTACATTTCAAGCATGTTAGAAGTTTAACACATTTACTAACATAGGGATCTCAAGCAAGTAATTTACTCTAAATCTTTCTCCACCTAAAAAGCGAAGGCAGTAACAATAACTAACCTATAATGATGCTATAAGGATTAAATGCTATGATATATAAAAACACCTAACACAGCACTCAGCAAATGAAAACAACTACTACCTCCACTGTTATTATTTTCTCACCTGTCAAGAAAACTAGAAGAGATTCCTATTTCAAGTGGAGGATGAACTAGATGAACTTATTTCTTATTACAACAAATTACAAGAAAAATAAGGAATAATTCAGATTCCTACTGTTTACATGATTTTATAACTAAATTAGGATACACTATTAAAAGTTATCAATCCAAATATTTGAGGAGGAGAAAAAACTTAAAATGATTTAGTGATATGTGTGAAAAAAATTACAAGTAACTCCTTACAAATTTAGTTAAGTTGAGATCCCTGACAAGCATTGCTAAACAGCACTACTTTTACAAAGTATCATTTTGGTACTGTCTCTTTGCATGGTGGCACTAGAGAGGTAGTTTGAAGTAGTGCCATAATTTAGCCAATTACTATGCTTTGGGTTGCAAACAACAGAAAACCCAAAGTTAAAAATGGCTTTAATAATAAGTATTTATTATCTCACATACAAAGCAATCTAGAAGTAGAATAATTCTACATTAGTTTAATTCAGAAGCTTACAAGGTCATTAAGTGTCCAAGTTCTATGTTGCTGCTTTACTACTTTCAATAAGGAGCTTTTGTCCTCAGATTTTGTCCCCTAATAGCTGCAAGAGGATTGGTTACAGTTCTAGATACAACAGGAAGACACACAAGACCAAGAAGAAGAAGAGGACTGTTTCCTTCCACGCATATCTGTATATCTTCATAACAGTAGGAAAATCTTTCCAGTTTCCACACCCCAAACAGGTTTTCCCTCAGGTATAACTGGCCAGAACTACAGGATATGTCTATTGTTCACTGGTAACCAAACACTGACAAGATTGGAATTACCACATTTATCAGACCATTATCATTCACCACCTGTGCTGAGGCTTGCCTATCTTGAAACACAAAGGAAGGAAACTGAATGGGGTTCTGTCAGAAAAAAGGAACGAGGTTGGGAAAGGTGATTAAAAGATCAAAGCAGATATTCACACACTAAAAAGAGAAATGAAAAATACTTTCATTGTAATCACAGATTAACAATAAATAAGACTGATTATGTCTGATTTTATACTATATAGTTCAGATTTCATGTTGCTTGAATAGCCCATGCCATCCATTTTCATAGTAATTATATGCTGCCTCTTATCATTTTTTGACTATTTCCTATCTTATTTCCTTAACTGGACTGCAAACTTCTTGAGAATTAAAAATCTATCTTTTACATATTCCTCAATGCTAACAATCTAAGAAATAGCAAACATCAATAAATATTTACGAAAAGCTAACATTTATTTCCTATAATAAATAATCTCCCTTCTCATTAAACCTGGCAGATTCAACACAAATATTCATCTCTACTCTTTTCCAAAATCCCACTAAATGACAACAAAGAACTTTAGAAAGTATAAATTCACAAGAATGAGAATAGAAGACATCAACTGACAAAAAAATTTAACATTTTGCAACACTTTGGAAGCTAGAAAGAGTATGGATATGTTGTAACTGACTCAGCAAACCAAAGAAAGCTAAAATGTAAGCCTGCAAAAGGGGTACATGGTAGGGAAGAGTGGCAATGAGAAGCAAGCCACAGCCAAGCATGGTTGTTCATGTCTGTAATCCTAGCACTTTGAGAGGCCAATGCAGGAGGATCACTTGAGGCCAGCGCTTTGAGATGGGATGGGCCTGGGCAGCATGGTGAGACCTCGTCTCTAAAAAACGACTAAGCAACTGAAGGTACCAGCTACCAGGTAACCAGATGGAAGTGCATGGTGGGGCAAAAAGCAAAAGGATTGGTTGAAAGTTTATGTAATGAACGGGTAGTCCACCAGATCCCCTCTATACTTGCCCGAGTAACTGCCCTGTTCCATCACTGCACAAGACAATACTATAGAAGACAGCCTCTGGAGAGGCTAGAGAAGCTAAGGACACTGGATACCAAGCACAGCTAAGGGCAGGGATCAGTTACCACACCACAACCAGGAAGATTAAGCCTGGACAATAAATATCTGAATGGTGGTGAGCCTGTTCACCTCTTCACCTACTTTCCTTCCCCTGGCTTAAAAGGCTGGTCACAAAATTCATACTATATCCACCCCTCCAAGCTCCTCACCCAACCCCTGCCACAACTATCGCCTTTGAAAAAATAAACACACCCCAACAGGTAGGAGATGGAGGACTGCTCTTTCTTAAAACTGAACAGCTAACAAGACCTAGAGTTACTGACATCTAGTGGTTCTCCAATTAAAATAGATTCTCAGCTATTCACCCCTCCAGACAGCAAAGCCCCCACCCTAACCTGCTACCCACATGCATACACACAAACACATTTACACACATACTTTCCAATCAGCACTCTTAAATATCAAAAGCCAGCCAAGAAAAGCCTATAATACTATATGCTGAAACAGAAGAAAGAGAGAGAGAGAAGAAAGAAAAAAGGGACTTGGGAAAAACAGGACAAAGAAGCAGAAGAAAACTTACAAAAAAAAAAAAACTATAGAAAGATGTTATGATACAGCATCCACGAAATGAAAACAGAATTCTCTTTAAAAGAAAAGGAGAGGCCAGACATGGTTGTTCACATCCGTAATCCTAGCACTTTGAGAGGCCAACACAGGAGGATCACTTGAGGCCAGGGCTTTGAGATGAGATAGGCCTGGGCAGCATAGTGAGACCCCGTCTCTACAAAAATATTTAAAAATTAGCTGAACATGGTAGAGGACACCTGAAGTCTTAGCTATTCAGGAAGCTGAGACAGGAGGATTGCTTTAACTTAGGAGTTTAACATTACAGTGAGCTATGATTGCACCACTGCACTCCAGCCTGGGCAACAGAGTGAGACTCTGTCTCTATTTTAAAAAGAGAGAGAGACAACAAATGCACTGAGAGAAAAAAGAACATAGAAAAGGTATGATTCTGGTTATTCCATCCAAGCTGGAATGTGGATGTGATGGCTGGTGCTGGAGTAGCCATTTTACACACAAGGTAGAACCAAGTTGAGGATGGGAGAGCAAGATAAAAACAGCCTGGGTCTTTGATGATTGCTGAGCAGCCACTGTACCCCAGACTACCTCTGTTACTATGAGATTAAAAACAAAAGCAAAACAAAACAAAAACCTCTATCTTATTTAACATATGATTTTTGAGTTTTCTGCCTCTTGTACCTTATCCATATAACTAATACAGTATGTGCTACACAGTAAGTTTTTCCCCAAATCCCTACAATACGAAACAAAGAAAATTATGTTCCAAGCTTACTATCTTGTCATTCCTACTAACAATGCTTAAGTCTATCTTACATTAGCCAAGAAAGCTGAATGCTAACACTTCAAATTTCAGGATTACATTCTAATCAAGTTTATCATGTATAATAAAATGAAGGACCTATGGAATACAGCTCCAGGTGTCCACAGCACACTATGCTCATTGTTTTCAGATGTTGCAGAATCACTCCACTAAGGCTTACCTTCAATTTCCCTTCAGTCTGACTTTCTTCTTTTAAATTCATATTGGATGACTGATGTCCAGCATAATAAATATTTTATCTTTCTACACCTTTCCCCTAAGAATAATATGCCTTTTTGAAAGTGAGGCACTGTCAGACACCTGGAGTCCAAACTTAGTTCTTAACTCTTTTGTCCAGAGTGAGCCCTGCAGCTTTTAAATGTTTTTACATTTCCATAACATATCTATTAAAATAAGCTATTCAATCCTATATAGATAAAAAAAAGTCACTTTTATAATTAAGCTAGACATCCTAGAGACAGTGGAATGATCAAGGATATGGAATAAAACCTAGATCAGTATAAAATTAACTGTTTGGCTTAAGATGATATCACCTACATTATAATTATTCTGATACTGTCTAAAAATTCCACAGTAAGTAAAAATTTCATAAAATGCTAAAGAAAAAAATGTCTGGCAGAGATGGATGGATGTAACTCTGGAATAATCTTCTTGTGACTTCTGGCACAACTAATAAAATCAGTAATATAACCATTCTATCCCCACCCACCTGGCTTTTCCATTGATGACTGATTGGGTGGTACATGTAGCAAGGATCTGAGGGTACTGACAGCAGGCATTTTTGTATAGAATAAACATAAGAAAAAGGAAATCTAAGACAGACATGCCAAACCTCAAAGGAAAAGTAGGACAACAAAGGAAAGAAATGGCCTTAATTTGCTTCCATTCATGTTAAAAAGAACCCATTTACTAAACAACTCCTTATCCATCCTTAAAAGTCACAGTATTACTTATTGCTTGTAAGTAAAGAAGAAATTCAAGGATGACAAAATACTAATCCTAAATTCTAGAAAGACTTCAAATATTCGCATTAAACTTTTCATTTTAATATTCTCAGAACTGATTTTCTCCACTTTTAAAAGGACTTGAATTCTAGAAAGACAGATGGTATCTATGGAAGAAAAAGGTACACTTTTCTGACTTCTATATGCTACTGAGTTGAGTAATGAATAATGTTTATATTGAAAGGCTTAATGACCATATCCTCCACTCCCAACCTTCAAAAGAATGAATGAATGAATGAATGAATGAATGAATGAATAAATAAATAAATAAATAAATAAATAAATAAATAAATAAATGGAGGTTCTGCAGCTTAAGACTTATGCTGGGAAAAGTCTTTTTGAAACAAAAAATATCACTGGCCTGTCCCACAGCAAATAAGACAACATAATCTGCCAAATTAATGCTCAGTACTGAGTAAACTTGATGTTTCCAAAAATGCCACAGCCACTTCACCGGAGCATGGTAGGTTCTATGCAACCTCTATCATAGTCCCTGAGACTAATTCATCTTCTCCTTACCTATTTCCTCAACTGAATTAGGCAGTACTTCTCAATTGTGAGCTTTCCTCAAAGGGAAGCTGTGAAGTAAGGAAATTCCCTCATATCTCACAATGATTTACTTCTTTAATGTATGTATACCTAAAGAGAATACGAGTTACTGAAAGACACACACTCAAAGTTCAAAAACTTGCCATGGGGTGAATGAAATTAAGGCAGGTACATTAGCCAAAGTTCTCTGCCTTTACATTATAGTGCACCATCAATCAATTTGTATCTTAATTATTAACTGCCTAAAACCTCAATATGTACAATTAAAAAGGTATAGACTTGGCCAGGCGCCACGGCTCACACCTGTAATCCCAACACTTTGGAAGGCAAAACAGGAGGACAGCTTGAGGCCAGGAGTTCAAGACCAGCCTGGGCAACAAAGCAAGAACTTGTTTCTCCAAAAAAATAAAAATAAGTTAGCCACGGATAGTGGTGTGTAGATAGCTTGAGCCCAGAAGTTTGAGGTTGCAGTAGGCTATGATCATGCCACTGCACTCCAGCCTGGGCAACAGAGCAAGACCTTGTCTCTCAAACAAACAAACAAACAAAAAAGCATAGACTCTATTCCTATATCCCTTCCCAGAAAAAGGAATATATGAGAGGTATATATGCAGAACAGAAAAACCAGCTAAAAAATGCATAATGTTGCTAAATCAATAGGAGCTAGGTGTTTCAGCAATGCCTCTTATCTAATATTCTAAATTTAGCTGAAATGAACAACCAATATAAATCAAACTATGTAACTATTTCTTGTGGTAGTAAATGAAACAGCTCACCTTCTCAATATTTATCTGGTGCTTTCTTAACCTTTCCAGGTCTGTTGGGATTACTATCTTAATGAATTTCTGGATAGCTGGTTCAAGACGGCGTAATTTCACTTTTTCTTCATCTTCAGACATCCTAAAAAAATGTTGTATGACCTCCCTGGTAACAGCTGTCTTCTCCACTCATATAGAAAAACCTAAAAGAAAAATATTTCTTTAAGAATGTTTTCAAATCTGTTTCCACTATTTTTAAAAGCCAACGATTAGTTTTACAATTTATTCTAAATCAATAAATAGAATATTTCTAATGCTGACCTTGAGTGACTTGTTTTTTTCTTTATGAAACCACTGATTTTTAAATCTTTTTCTCTTTACAAAAATTATATTTTAGAATGTTCAGACAATATAAATAAATGAAGAATTAAATAAAGTCAGCAGTCATCTCCTCACCTTTTACAAAGAGTACAAAATGTACTCTTTACATTTTGGCATACGTCTCTCCAGGTCTTTTTCTATGTAAGTAGGTATGTATGTATATAAATACTTTTAAAAAAGCTAGGAGTATACTGTCCAAGTTTTCATTTTCTGATCTATCTTGGACATTGAATAACCTTTTTAAAAAAGGTATCAAATGGCTTAACACTGATGCTTGTATCAAACTTCATGTCTAATGTCATCATAATGTAACTTTGTAATTACACAACTTCAAATATATGATAACATAATATGCAACTTTTCTCATTGATGTGCTTTAAACTGCCTCTTCCATTTTCAATAAAGTGATTAGTATTGCCTACAACTGATTCAAAAAACCAGTGACAGAGCTGGAATAAGAACCCAGATTTTCTGAAATTACATTGAAATACTTTTTCCACTTCACCAGTAGTTTCCTACTAGTGTTCCAGAAAGTCCAAGGGTATGCATTTGGGGCCAGAGTACAAGCGTAGGGGCTAGAGGTGAGTAGGTTCCAGGACTCCACTCCCTACTTCAGTTGTAGAAACTTTACTTACAACTATTTTATGAATTGGAGCTTATCAGAGCTTATATAAATAATGGGCTTCACAGCTTAACCAAGCTTGAAAGCCACCATTGTACACCATGCTTTCATGCCATTTCATTAGCCACAACCTCACCCATGTTTAAAAAATTTTAAGTTGAGTATGTTAATACTGCTGAGTTATGCTGTCTTAGTCCAGGGTCTATAAAGATAGGAATTCACATACAGACTTTGTGGAGCCACTGAATCTTTATGAAAAATTGTGAATGAAGGGGCCGGGTACGGTGGCTCATGTCTGTAATACCAGCACTTTGGGAGGCCAAGGCGGGAGGACCACTTGAGCCCAGGAGTTCATGGCCAGCCTGGGCAACATGCCAAAATCCCATCTCTACAAAAAAAAAAAAAGAAAAAAAAAGTGAATATAGTTTATTTTGGAGAATAGAGTCCATTGTTTCAAGGGATTCTCAGAGATCTATCATCCCCAAAACATTAAATATTTATCCCCTTTCTTTCACAGTTGAAAATCTTGATGTGTTGGTTATATAGACTGCCTCCAATACCTACCCATTAGTAACTTGGTTTTTATGTTTGATACAAGGCTCAAAAGTCAAAAAGGAAAATCTCCAGGTACAAAAACAAAGAGGGTAAAACAGGTGCAACAGTGAATGGAAACTGGGGACATATGGAGAAATTCATTACCAAAAGAGACCATCCACAGACCCAACAAAACAGGAAAATTCATACCTAATGGACGAAAGATAATAAAATAATTTTAAAAAGAAACTAAAGTAAGTATATTTTTAAATATCCAAAAACATTCTATTCCAAAAAGGAACAGAATCTTTTAAAAAAATAGATATTATGAAACAGTAAGAGGCCAGCCTGAATATAAAACAAGTAAAACTTCTAGAAATGAAAATCTCAAAAGATGTGTTAAACAGTAAATTATATAGATAAGAAACAATTATTGATTGGAAGAAATCACTCAGAACACAGAGGAATAAAAAGATGAAAAGTATAAAAAAGAAGATAAAAGACATAAAGGATAAAATCAGAAGCTTAATAACAAGTAGAAGTCCCAGAAAGAAAGAACAAAGAAAACAGTAAGAAGGAATTATTCAAAGAGAATATACTGATAATTAAAATGTAAGACCTCAAACTGAAAAAGCACATCAGCCTCAAGTAGCATACATTAAAAAGAAACCAAATTTGCCTAAATACATGGAAGGGAAATTGCAAAACATTAAAGAACAAGAATCATTAAAAAAATGAGACATAAAAGACTGACAAAGCAATAATATATTGCTTTTAAAAGCAAGATATTAAAAGACAGAAATACCTTCAAAGTGCTGAGAGAGTTGGTATATTCCCAGGTAAATTATCATTTAAAATGAAAGCAAAATAATCATTTTCAGACATACAAGGACTAAGAGAGTTTATTACCAAGCCCCTCATTAAAAGTACTTAAAGGAATATTTCAACAATAAAGAAAATAAACCCAAAGGAGTGGAATAGCAAGGAGCAATGAATAGAATAAACTGTTAACGGATAGAATAAATGGGTGGATGAAAGAACAAAGAAAATAAAACATTTATTTTGAATAGTGTGATGAAGTATAATAAAAATGTTTCCATGTAAATAATTTTCTATAATTACGTAGATGCTTCACAATTTTACAAATTGGCTATTATTGGCTATTTAGGTTGTTTCTAATTTTCCACTATTATAAACTACAGTGTAATTACCCTGCTTACACATAAATCCATACTGCTGCCTATAATTATTTCTTTAAAACAATCAACAAAGACACAACCTGTATAAAGGGAGAAAATATTTGCCAACTAGTCATCCAACAAGGGACTAATATCTAGAATGTATGAGAAACTCAAACAACTCAACAGCAAAGAAACAAATAGTTCCATTAAAAAGTGGGCAAAGAATCTGAATAGACATTTCTCAAAAGAAGACATACAAATGACCAAAAGGTATTTTTTTTAATGCTCAACATCATTAATCATCAGGGAAATGCAAATAAAAACCACAATGAGATACCATCTCACCCCAGTTACAATAGCTATCACCAAACGGATAAAAAATAACAAATGCTGGTGAGGATGTAGCAAAAGAGGCCTCTTTTTTTTTTTTTCTTTTTAGATAGATTTTCGCTCTTGTCACCCAGGCTGGAGTGCAGTGGCACGAGCTCAGCTTACTGCAACCTCTGCCTCCCGGGTTCAAGCAGTTCTCCTGCCTCAGCCTCCTGAGTAGCTGGGATTACAGGCACATGCCACCACGCCCAGCTAATTTTTTGTTTTTAGTAGAGACGGGATTTTGCCATGTTGGCCAAGCTGGTCTCGAACTCCTGACCTCAGGTGATCCACCTGCCTCGGCCTCCCAAAGTGCCGGGATTACAGGCGTGAGCCACGACGCCTGGCGAGAAAGAGGACTCTTATACACTGTTGGTGGGAATGTAAATTAGTACAGCCATTATGAAAAACAGTATGGGCTGGGTACGCTGGCTCATAGCTGTAATTCCAGCACTTTGGAAGGCTGAAGCAGGAGGATCACTTGAGGCCAAGAGTTTGAGGGCAGCCTGGGCAACATAGCAAGATCCTTCTTCTCTGAAAAATTTAAAAATTAGCTGGGTGTGGTGGTGGGTGCCTGTAGTCCCAGTGACACCAAGGTGGGAAGATCCCTTGAGCCCTAAAGTGTGAGCCTGCAAGAAACAGTGTTCTTACTACTACACTACAGCCTAGGCAACACAGTGAGATCCTGTCTCAAAAAAAGAAAGAAAAACTGTACAGAGGCTTCTCAAAAAATTAAAAATAAAACTACCATATGATCCAGCAATCCCACTACTGGGTATTTATCCAAAGGAAAAAAAATCAGTATATCAAAGAGATACCTACAGCCCCATGTTTATTGCAGCAGCATTCACAATAGCCAAGATATGGAATCAACCTAAGTGTCTGTCAATGGATGACTGGATAAAGAAAATGTGGTGTATATACACAATGAAATACCGTTCAGCCATTAAAAAAAAGAATGGGTCAGGCGCGATGGCTCATGCCTATAATCCCAGCACTTTGGGAGGTGGAGGCGGGCCGATCAGGTCAGGAGATCGAGACCATCCTGGCTAACATGGTGAAACCCCGTCTCTACTAAAAAATACAAAAAATTAGCCAGGCGTGGTGGCATGCACCTGTATTCCCAGCTGCTCCGGAGGCTGAGGCAGGAGAATCGCTTGAACCCAGGAGGCGGAGGTTGCGGTGAACCCAGATCTCACCACTGCACTCCAGCTTGGGCAACAGAGCGAGACTCCGTCTAGGGAGAAAAAAAAAAAAAAGAATGAAATCCTGTCATTTACAACAACATGGATGGAACATCTAGCCTGTACTCCCAGCTACTCAGGAAGCCGAGGTAGGAGGATCACTTGAGCCCAGAAATTAGAAGCCAGCCTGGGCAATATAATGAGACCTCCATTTCTAAATAAAAAGGGGGAAAAAAGTTGATCTCCTGGAGGTAGAGAGTAGAGTGATGGGAAGGGGCAGGAGGGGTGAAGAGAAGTTGATTAATGGGTACAAACATACAGTTAGATAGAAGGAATACATTATTCATGTTTAATAACACAGTGAGGTAGCTATAGTTAACAATAATTTATTGCATATTTCAAAATAGCTAGAAGATCTGAAGTGCTCCTAACACAAAGAAATAATAAATGTTTGACATGATATATATCCCAAATACCCTGATTTGATCATTACACATTGTATGTATGTATCAAAACATCACATGTATCCTATAAATATGTAAAATTATTGTGTATTAATTGAAAAAAGTAACATAAAAATAAAAAATAAATATCTAGAAATAGAATTATTAGGTAGACAGATTTTTCAAGGTTTTTAAAACATATATATAGCCATATCCCACAAAAGGTTATGCCTATTATGTTCCTACCAGAAACATAACACAATGTCCATTTATCCATATTCCAAGCAATATACTTAGTATTATCATTCTTAGACATGTCATTGGTGAAAAAAATGATGTCTCATTATTGCTTTACTTTGCATTCCTTAAATTACTAACAGGGTGGATTTATCAGCCATTTGCATTTCTTTTTTTTTTTTCTTTTTTTTTGTTTTGAGACGGAGTCTCACTCTTTTGCCCAGGCTGGAGTGAAGTGGTGCGATCTCAGCTCACTGCAACCTCCGCCCCTTAGGTTCAAGTGACTCTCCTGCCTCAGCCTCCCAAGTAGCTGGGATTACAGGCACGTGCCACCACGCCCAGCTAATTTTTGTATTTTTAGTAGAGACGGGGTTTCACCATGTTGGCCAGGCTGGTCTCGAACTCCCGACCTCAGGTGATCCACCTGCCTCGGCCTCCCAAAGTGCTAGGATTACAAGTGTGAGGCACCATGCCCAGCTGCATTTCTTCTTTTTTTAATTTTTAATTTTTGTGGGTATATATTAGTAGTAGGTATATATTTATGGGATATTTGAGTTATTTTGATACAGGCATACAATGTGTAATAATCACATTAGGGTAAATGAGGTATCCATCACCTCAAGCATTTATTCTTTGTGTTGCAAACAATCCAGTTATACTCTTTTAGTTATTTTTAAATATACAATTGAATTATTATAGTCACCCTGTTCGGCTATCAAGTACTATATTTTATTCATCCTCTATCACTATTTTTTTGTACTCATTGCATTTCTTCTTTCATGAATTGCCTGTTCATGTCATATGCATCTGTTTTTACTACAGGGGATGTCTTTCTCTTATTAACTCATAAAAGGCTATTACATGTTAAATGTATCAATTATTTGTCTAACATTAACATTTCCCAATCTATCACACTGCCTCTTTTCTTTTCTTCTATACCACAAAGAGATTATCTTTATATCTACCATCATTCCTATCAAAATGTTTTTTGAACACACCTGTTGTTCAATAGATGCTGCCTGAACTAAAATATTTCTTCACACGTCCCTTCTATACAATTGCTAATCCTATCACTCTAGTCAAATAGCACAATATGCATAGCCATGATAATGGAGCTTCAATTAGTCTACCTTTAGACTCTTTCCCTCCAAAATGGAATATAAACTATAAAAACATAAACTGTATTATAAACGAATAGCATAACCACACTGAAAGAAGTGAGGAAGAAAAATTATCTAAGCCACTTTAGAAAACAATATTTTAACTGAATACTATAAGCCTAGAGACAAAAAGAACTACACTGTACTCTATTTAGTAAATGTGTTTCTCACAGGAACATAGGTCAGAAATCCTGAAATTACTTTATGTGTATACTAGGACTGAAGAAATAAGAAAATATTTTGTAGAATGCCAAGAGTCAGATTTCTCACTGTCAGATAAAAAGTTAAAAATAAGGGACAAAACTAGAATGAACCCTGTGGTGTTAGACTAGAAGCAAAGCTACTGGGATGAACTTTTGTTTTTAAAAAGTATATGGATAGACAAATACAGAAATAAACATAGATCTTTGTGTATGCATGGGTATGCATATGTATAGACTGGTGTCTTCTGTGGGGCCCTGGAAGCAATGTTACCCCAGTAGCAATGAGCATCCCTAGAGCACAGATCTTTGTGTTTAAATACTATTCTCCAAAAAAAGAAACTACGGGTCGTTGGAGAAGTGGCTGACTATCAGGGCTGAGGCACAGAAAACACAAGATGAGCCTGGGGCATCCTATGGTACCAGAAAATTAGGAAGTTCCAAAAAAGAAAAAAAAGGATGGAAGCATGCTGAAAAGCTACAGAAAGCAACCTGAAAGAAAACTCCCAATGATCAAAGCTGGAACAATTTCAAACATAAAATAACACAAGTGTAGGATAACAACCAATAGAAAAACATCTAAGTCCACATGGATACAAATAAATAACGGAATACAAATAAACAAATGGGAAATGGGCAGCTCATCCTTACAGAATAATTTCAATTAATAAAGAAATGAGGAAAGTAGAAAATCATCATTAGAACACCATAGTCATAATAATTGCTGAAGGCAAGATCCACCAATGGATGTGAAATTTAGCAAGGGAAAGTCTGAGGAGAAACAGGATATGCGTACGGTTTAAAAGCTCCCCCCCAAGATGTCAATTATAAGGAGAAAAATAAGACCTTTACATTGGAGAATCCCAGCAGACACTCTCTACCAAGTGATCAAGATTAACCTCACGAGCAATAAGTCATATATATCAGCTATGCTCATATGATGAACTGAGAAGGGCACACACACTTTTGTGTTCTTAACAAAAATGTATAACCTTAATCTAATCATGAGAGAACACTGGACAAACCCCATTTGAGGGGCACTCTACAAAATAACTGACCAGCATTCTTCAAAAGTGTAAAGATCAGAAAGAGTATAAAGACAGAAAAAGACTATCAGTGTAAAGACAGGAAAAGACAGAGGAACTGTCACAGACTGGAGGAGACCAAGGACCCAAGACAACTAACTGCAATGTCGGGTCTTAGAGTGGATCCTAGAATAGAAAAAGGACATTAATACAGGAAAAAAAATCACAAGTTAGTAATTCAGTTAATAGTATTATACTAATATTAACTTCTTGCTTTTGATAATTGCGCTATGGTATGTAAAAAATTATTAATGGAGGCAATAGGGAACTCTGTATTACTTTTGAAACTTTTCTGTAATTTTAAAATTATTTCAAAATAAAAAAGTTTTTTAGTATAAGAGGATGTTTCACGTAAGACAGGTAAAAACATTTAGAAGTCAAAGAACTGCCATCGTATTCACTGCATTAATACTTGGAGAGAGGGGTGCCAGGACTGTGCCAGGTGCTTTACAAACTTTATCATGTAGTGCTTACAACTAATATGAGATGGGTACCATAATACTCATGTTTCCCAGTAAGTTACTTAGGAGGTTATTAATAAGTGAAAGACCCCATTTCTCAGGAAACCCAGCCCCCAAAAGTGACGAACACCTTCCATCGGCCCAGAGCTCCCACTTTTCAGGATACTAGTGGCGCCCGATTTCTTCCGGCCCGCCGCTTAATGTTTCTGACTTATGGAAGAGATACCGAATTTGGAGAGAAAAGTCAAAGTAAAGTCTCCTCTCTGAACCTCGGTTAGCTAAAAGGAGGGAGCCAAGGTGTGGGACCTTCTGCCAACCACCTCTGGGTTTGGCGAGCAGGGGCTTCCGGCCTCTCGCTCCCAGTCCTCCGAGCCTCACTACCATCGAGCGTCGCGTCATTCCTCGCAGTGTCACCCACAGCACACCTGGGCCACACACACCAAACGCCCCCACCAGCGAACGGATGCGCGGGTCTGTCCCGGGACCCAGACGCCAGCGACCCTGGCGACCCGGGGCCTACAGCGCGCCAGAGACAGGACGCGCGCCGGAAACTTTTCCACCCCGCGACCCCGGGAGGCCGTCCTGCTCGCATCGTCTGCGGCCTCCCTATACCAGCTTCCAATAAAGCTTCCAAAAACGAAACCAAGCGAGGCTCCGCCACTTCTGAAAAACAGGAGGAGCCACCATGGCGCTCGCACTTCGGATCCAATGCCCTACTTGCCGCCCAGCGCCTCTTGCGCGCGCCACACGGGCGCCAGGCCCACCAAGCCTGTGAGGGCCCGACGCCCCCAAAGGCGGCCTCCAGAGAGCCCCTTACCTCCCGCCGGGGCGCTCGAGGCCGGTCGGTGGGCACGGCGCAGGCGCAGGAGCGACGGGGCGGGGCATCACGAGGGGTGGGCAGGGTTGGGCCCCGCCCCCGCCCCCGCCCCCGCCCCGCAGGGCCCCCAGGCCGGGCGCTGGGGGCGCACAGGTGAGTACAAATGCGGACGCTGCTGAGAACAGCGAAAGCCTTTTTCAAAAGTGATATTGATTTACGTTATGGGGTTGTGACTCGAGCCAAGAGGAGAGAGACGCACAAACGCTCTTTAGGTCTGCTTGTTGTGTTTAAGACAATTCATGCTTGTATGGCCGACTGCATTTCGCAGTTTTCCTGTCCGTTTTCCTCTGTTCTTCCTAGAATTTTATTTGCGGGTTGGGCATGTATTCTTAGCTCTGTTTTGAAACTGAAGCTCAGAAAGGTGGTGCCTCCCCATCCCGTCCCCAAAAGCCCTGTGAAGTGGACAGGGCAGGAGTGCCATCTTAATTGCAACAGGTGTAAAAATTAAAGCTCAGCAAATTGTGGTTTCCTCCAAAAACTGGTGGAGGGCTTAAGGCAAACGTCTTTATCCCGATTTTATAGATTATGACTCTGGGGTTTAACAAAGAGTTTTAAGTGACTCACTCCAGTTCAGCCAGCTTATGGCAGAGCTGGAACTCCAACTGGGTGTCCTAATTTCCTTCCCAAGTTATTCCAGTTAGACCAGCTGCAACCACATGAACAAGCAGGTGGCCGGCTTTGAAGCCTTGTCCAAGTCACAGGTCCTCCTCTCTTCATGGCCTAACTTCCAGATCCAGCCCTTTTAAAAAGATGTCTGTGAATATTCAGATGACGTGCTTAGAATGTATTCACTAATGGCATTGTCTCAGAAGTGATCAGGATGTTCAAACCACAGTTAAGGAAACTGAGTTCTTAGGGTCTTCCAGTAGAGTAGGAGGTAAACAGGGAAGATTAGGGGCCTGTAGATCCTTTAAAAAGCCTTGAAAGACAATTTCTAAAACAAAGCACCAAATCTACCAAGCAATTTGGATTTTCTTTGGGGACATAATGTATACTGATATTTGTTTTACAATGAGCTCCAGAATGTATTTATCAAATTTTGATTCTAAGGAGAAAAATTAAAGTATTAGGCAATACTGTGAGAAAATGTTTTTTATGCAAGGATCAGTGAAATAAGATCTTTTGAAATAAAAGATCATTTGTGTTAAGTTCTGAAAAAGCTTCCTCAGGTACAAAATCAGGAGGTGTGGTACTCAAAGATTCTAAATTTGGACCTGGACTTCTAAGTTGTTATATGTATGTTTGCTGTAAGTTAGGTGTGTCAAAGTAGTAGGATAAACATTTTTTTTTTTTTTTTTTTTTTAGACAGAGTCTTGCTCTTTCGCCCAGGCTGGAGTGCAGTGGCATGATCTCAGCTCACTGCAACCTCCACCTCCCAGATTCAAGCGATTATCCTGTGTCAGCCTCCTGAGTAGCTGGGACTACAGGCGTGTGCCAACATGCCCGGCTAATTTTTTGTATTTTTAATAGAGACAGAGTTTCACCATGTTAGCCAGGATGGTCTTGATCTCCTGACCTCGTGATCCGCCCGCCTCGGCCTCCCAAAGTACTGGGATTACAGGTGTGAGCCACCATGCCCGACCAAAACCTTTTAATCTAACTGTTGGTTAGCTTGATTTATAATCTTTAAATATTCAAACATATGGTGTGTGGACCTCTTTTGTGTACTCTAGGTCATCAAGTTGTTAGGGGCAGGCCTGCTACTACTGGCCGACATTTTCCTGAAGTCCTAACTGAACCCAGCAAGTCCAAACAAAACATTAAGTGTATATGTTGGAAAGAAAATTAAAAAAAATTCTTAGGGTGTTATGATTGATTGCTTTCTTGGAAAATCCATGGAATAAACTGAAACTAATTCAATAAGATGGCTATAAAATACCTCTCCTAAACAACAATCATCAATTTTAAAATGTAATGAGAAGAAGACTGGGCGTGATGGCTCATGCCTATAATCTCAGCACTTTGGGAGGCCAATGAGGGAGGATTGCTTGAGGCTAGAAATTCAAGACCAACCTGGGCAAAATAGTGAGACCCCATTTCTAAAAAAAACAAAAAAAACGTAGCTGGGTATGGTGGCATGTACCTATAATCCCAGCTACTCAGGAGGCTGAAACAGGAGGATCAGTTGAGCCCAGGAGTTTGAGGCTGGAATGAACTATGATCCCACCAGCCTGCACTCCAGCCTGCAGAAAAGACTGACACCCTGTCTCAAAAAAAAAAAAAAAAAAAAAAATTGAAATGTACTGGGAGGAAGATTACATTCAAAAATGACAAAAATCAAGTTTGTGTTTATAAGGAATTACAAGACCTATTTGAAGAATTGAGAATAATAGCTAGATGAGGGATAGGGGTGGAAGGAAGGATCACAAAGGGGCATAAGGAAACTTTGGGAGTGATAGAAATGTTCATTATCTTGATTGTGGTAATAGCTGCATGGACGTATATATATGTCAAAACTTACCAAATTGTACACTGTAAATATGTTTATGTATAAGTGCTTATTGTATGTGAATTATACCTAAATAAAGCCATGTAAAAAGGGAGGGGGGAAGAAGTAGCTTTTTATTTGATTGCATGTGATGTGTAAAGCACTTGGTTAGGCGCTTTACATGCAATATGTTATTTAATACTGATGACAACCCATGAAGTAGGTATTACAATCACCCCCTTCATACAAACTAGGAAATTGAGGCTTAGAGAGTAACTTGACCAAGGTCCAAGTCTCATATACTACATAACAGGAGTAAGACTCAAATCTTACGTAACAGTATTTATACTTTAACCTGACTTCCATATTTCCATATAAGATACAAGTAAAGACTTGACTATGTGGAAAAGTAATACAGTCAATATTGTAAAGTTGTCCATTTCCACCAAACTAACTTAAAAATTTATCAAAATCCCATTATGATTTTTCTCTTTCTTTTTCTTTCTTTCTTGTTTTTCTTTCTTTTCTTTCTTTTTTCCTTCCTTCCTTCCCTTCCTTCCCTTTCTTTTCCTTTCCTTTCTTATTTCCTTCCTTCCTTCCCTTTTTTCCTTTCCTTTCTTATTTCCTTCCTTCCTTTTCCTTTCCTTTCTTATTTCCTTCCCTCCCTTCCTTCCTTCCTTCGTGTTTTGTTTTGAGATAGAATCTTGCTTTGTCACCCAGACTAGAGTGCAATGGGGGTGATCATGGTTCACTGCAGCCTTGACCTCCTCCTGCCTCAGCTTCCCAAGAAGCTGGAACCACAGGTGTATGCCACTATGCTGGGCTAATTTTATTTTTCTAGAAATTGGGACTCCCTGTGTTGCCCAGTCTAGTCTCCAATTCCTGAGCTCAAGTGATCCTCCTACCTCAGCCTCCCAAAGTGCTAGGATTACAGGTGTGTGCCACCACACCAGGCCCCCTTTATGATTTCTATAATAAAACATTTTAAAAAATCCAAATTGATTTTGCAACTATTACTCTTTCTTCTTAGAATGCCATTTTTTGCCTGCTTTCCCCCATCTCTTTCCCCCCACCCCAGAGTAAAGAAATTACTCTTTATTCTGCTGGACTCAAAAGTCATCTCACCTAGGAAGCTTCTCCCACTGATATGGTTTGGCTCTGTGTCCCCACCCAAATCTCATCTTGAATTGTACTTCCATAATTCCTACATGTTGTGGGAAGGACCTGGTGGGATATAATTTGAATCATGGGAGATAATTTGAATCATGGGGGCGATTTCCCCCATACTGTTCTCATGGTAGTAAATAAGTCTCAAGAGATCTGATGGTTTTATCAGGGGTTTCCACACTTTTGCATCTTCCTCATTTTCTCTTGCTGCTGCCATGTAAGAAGTGCCTTTCACCTCCCGCCATGACTCTGAGGCCTCCCCAGCCATGTGGAACTGTAAGTCCAAATACAGTTCTTCTGTATTTCTTCCCAGTCTTGGGTATGTCTTTATCAGCAGCATGAAAATGGACTAATACAGTAAATTGGTACCAGTAGAGTGGGGCGTTGCTGAAAAGGTACCCAAAAATGTGGAAGCAACTTTGGAACTGGTTATCAGGCAGAGGTTGGAACAGTTTGGAGGGCTCGGAAGAAGACAGGAAAGTGTGGGAAAGTTTGGAGCCTCCTAGAGACTTGTTGAATGACTTTGACAAAAATGCTGATCGTGATATTAACAATAAGGTCCAGGCTGAGGTGGTCTCAGATAGAGATGAGGAACTTGTTGGGAACTGGAGCAAAAGTGACTCTCGTTATATTTTAGCAGAGACTGCCAGCATTTTGCCCCTGCCCTGGAGATTTGTGGAGCTTTGAACTTGAGAGAGATGATTTAGGGTATCTGGTGGAAGAAATTTCTAAACAGCAAAGTATTCAAGAGGTGTCTTGGGTGCTGTTAAAGGTATTCAGTTTTATCAGGGAAGCAGAGCATAATAGTTTGGAAAATTTGTAGCCTGACAATGTGACAGAAAAGAAAATCCCATTTTCAGAGGAGAAAGTCAAGCTGTCTGCAGAAATTTGCATAAGTAATGAGGAGCCAAATGTTAATCGCCAAGACAATGGGGAAAATGTTTCCAGGGCATGTGAGAGGTCTTCACAGCAGCTCTTCCCATCACAGGCCTGGAGGCCTTGGAGGAAAATATGGTTTCATGGGCTGGACCAAGGGTCCTCGTGCGTGTACAGCCTAGGAACTTGGTGCCCTGTGTCTCAGCTGCTCCAGCTGTGGCTGAAAGGGGCCAATGTGGAGCTTGGGCTGTGGTTTCAGAGGGTGCAAGCCCCAAGCCTTGGCAGCTTCCACGTGGTTTTGAGCCTGCAAGTGCACAGAAGTAAAGAATTGGGGTTTGGGAACCTCCACCTAGATTTCAGAGGATGTATGGAAATGCCTGGATGCCCAGGCAAAAGTTTGCTGCAGGGGTGGGGTCCTCATGGAGAACCTCTGCTAAGGCCGTACAGAAAGGAAATGTGGGGTCAGAGCCCCCACACAGAGATGCTACTGGGGCACTACCTAGTGGAGCTGTGAGAAGAGGGCCACCGTCCTCTAGTCCTCTAGACCCCAGAATGGTAGATTCACTGATACCTTGCACTGTGCACCTGGAAAAGCCACAGACACTCAACACCAGCCCGTGAAAGCAGCCAGGAGGGGTGGTATACCCTGCAAAGCCACAGGGATGGAGCTGCCCAAGACAATGGAACCTACCTCTTGCCTCAGCATGACCTGGATATGAGACGTGGAGTCAAAGGATATCATTTTGAAGCTGTAGAATTTGACTGCTTTCTGTTACAGGGCACGTGCCCTGTAACCCCTTTGTTTTGGCCAATTTCTCCCATTTGTAACAGCTGCATTTACCTAATACCTGTACCCCATTGTATCTAGAAAGTAACTAGCTTGCTTTTGATTTCACAGATTCATAGGCAGAAGAGACTTGCCTTGTCTCAGATGAGACTTTGGACTGTGGACTTTTGGGTTAATGCTAAAATGAGTTAAGACTTTGGGGGATTGTTGGGAAGGCATAATTGCTTTTGAAATGTGAGGACATGAGATTCGGAGGGTCCAAGGGCTGAATGATATGGTTTGGCTCTGTGTCCCCACCCAAATATCATCTTGAATTATACTCCCGTAATTCCCACGTGTTGTGGGAGGGACCTGCTGGGAGATAATTTGAATCATGGGGGCAGTTTCCTCCATACTGTTCTCGTAGTAGTGAATAAGTCTCGTGAGATCTGATGGTTTTATCAGGGGTTTCCGCTTTTGCATCTTCCGTATTTTCTCTTGTCACCACCATGTAAGAAGTGCCTTTCACCTCCTGCCATAATTCTGAGGCCTCCCTAGCCATGTGGAACTGTAAGTTCAATTAAATCTTTTTTTCTTCCCAGTCTCGGGCATGTCTTTATCAGCAGCGTGAAAACAGACTAATACTCTCACCCTCTCAAGTCCAGGTTTAATGTCCCCTTATAAGCTACTACAGCAATCTATGCTTATCCCTATAAAGGTCCTTATCATAATTAGTTGAATTCTTCATCTTCTTATCTGTGACTCTACTAGATTCTAAGTTTCTTGAGGAAAGATATACATTATTATTTACTTAGAACCTAGTACGGTTCCTGGAACATCCTAGGAAAACAATGTATTTTACATGAATTAAGAAATAAATTTTCTAGTATCATAAAGCAAGTATATGAAGAATCTGAAATAAAATCCAAATTTGGCACAATGGTATAGACCTAATAGGTTATCTTCCTGGCCCATTACTTTTCTGAGAACTGCAAAGAAAAGCCCAGGAACTGCTCCTCCCCTCCAGATCTGAATGCTAACAGTTATGAGTCTCTGTTGTACCAGCATGAACCCCTTCCTACCCTTGACCAGAGGGAATTGGTCCAGGAGCAGACACCTGAGTGGGCTTTTCTTTGCTGGAAGCCTTTTTATTATAGCTTCAATCTCATTACTTATGATTGGTGTGTTCAGGTTTTTGACTTCTTCATGGTTCAATCTTGGCAGGTTGTATGTGTCTAGAAATTTGTCCATTTATTCTAGATTTTCTAATTTATTGGCATATACTTGCTCATAGTAGTCTCTAATGATCTTTTGAATTTCTGCAGTTTAGATTATAGTGTCTCCTTTTTCATCTCTGATTTTATTTCTTTGGGTCTTCTGTCTTTTTTCTTAGTCTAGCTAAAAGTTGATTGACTTTATTTATCTTTTCAAAAACCACCTTATCATTTTATTGATTTTTGTATTGTTTTGTTCATTTTTATATCATTTATTTCTGCTCTGATTTTTATTATTTATTTTCTTCTACTAATTTGAGGTTTGGTTTGCTCTTGTTTTCTAGTTCTTTAAGATGCATTGTTGGGTTGTTTGAAGTTTTTCTCCTTTTTTATTAGGTGGTTATTGCTATAAACTTTCCTCTTAGTACTGCTTCTGCTGTATCTCATGGCTTTTGGTGTGTCATGTTTCCATTTTCATTTGTTTTAGGAAATTTTAAATTTCCTTCTTAATTTTTTTATTGACCTGCTGGTCATTCAAGAGCCTATTATTTAATTTCTATGTGTTTGTATAGTTTCCAAAGTTCCTCTTGTTTTTGATTTATAGTTTTATTCCATTATGGTGAGAGAAGGCACTTGATATTATTCTGATTTTTTTGAGTGTTCTAAGACTTGTTTTGTGACCTAATATATGACCTATCCTTGAGAATGATTCATATAATAAAGAGAAGAATGTGTATTCTACAGGCATTAGATGAAATGTTCTGTAAATATCTATTAAGTCCATTTGGTCTATAGTACAGATTAAATCCAGTGTTTCCTTGTTGATTTTCTGTCTGGGTGATGTGTCCAATGCTGAAAATAGGGTGTTGAAGTCTCCAGCTATCATTGTATTGGGGTCTATCTCTGACCTTAGTTTTAATAATATTTGCTTTGTATACCTGGGTGCTCTCCCGTGTTAGGTGCATATATGTTTAGAATTACTAAATTCTCTTGCTGAATTGACCCCTTTATCATTATATAATGACCTTCTTTGTCTCTTTTTATAGACTTTGTCTGAAATCTTTTGTCTAATAAAAATATAGCTGCTCCTGCTTGTAATCCCAGCACTTTGGGAGGCTGAAATGGGCAGATAACTTGAGGTCGGTAGTTCAAGACCAGCCTGGCCAACATGGTGAAACCCCATCTCTACTGAAAATACAAAAATTCACCAGACGTGGTGGCATGTGCCTGTAATCCCAGCTATTCAGGAGGCTGAGGTGGGAGAATTGCTTGAACCCAGTAGGGCAGAGGTTGCAGTGAGCTGAGATCATGCCACTGCACTCCAGCCTGGGCAACAGAGCGAGACTCCATCTCAAAAAAAAAACAAAAAACAAAAAGCGTATATGGCTGCTCCTGCTCCTTTTTTGTTTGTTTCAATTGGCAAGGAATATTTTTTTCCATCTCTTTATTTTCAATCCATGTGTCATTATAGGTAAACTGTGTTTCCTGTAGACAACAGATCTTTGTGTCTTTTTTAATTAGTTCAACTACTCTGTGTCTTTTTGATTGGTGAGTTTAGTCCATTTATATGAAATGTTACTATCAATAAGTAAGGACTTACTTCTGCCATTTTATAATTTGTTTTCTTGTTGTTTTGTGGTCTTCCCTCCCTGCCTGCCTGCTTTCTTTCCTCCCTCCCTCCCGCCCTTCCTTCCTTTTGTGAAGAGTATTTTCTCTGGTGGTATGTTCCAATTTCTTGCTTTTTACTTTTTGTGTATCTGCTGTAGGTTTTTAAATTTGAGGTTCTCATGAGGCATGGAAATAACAGCTTATAACCCATTATTTTAAGCTGATAACAACTAAACACTGGTTGTAAAAACAAACAAATAAGCAAAGAGAAGAGTAATAAAAACTCTACACTTCAACTTCACTTTACACTTTAACTGCTTGCTTTTTAACTTTTTGGTGTTCTTATTTATATCTTACACTGTCCGTGTCTTGAAAAGTTGTTGTAATTATTATTTTTGATAGGTTCATATTTTAGTATTTCTGCTCAAGACGTGAGTAATTTCCATACCACAATTACAGTGTTACGATATTCTGTGTTTGGCTGGGCACAGTAGCTCATGCCTATAACCCCAGCACTTTGGGAGGGCAAGACAGTTTTGGCCATGTTGCCCAGGCAGTCTGAACACCTTGAGCCCATGTGTTTGAGACTAGCCTGGGCAACATGGCAAGACCCTGTCTCTTCAAAAATTTTTAAAAAAATAAGCCAGGCACTGTGGCATGAGCCTGTGGTCCCAGCCACTTGGAAGGCTGAGGTGGGAGGATCACCTGAGCCCAGGAGTTGAGGATGCAGTGAGCTGTGTTATTAATAGCACCACTGCACTGCAGGCTGGGTGGGCAACAAAGCTAGACCCTGTCTTAAGAAAAAACTTCCGTTTTTGCCTGTTTACTTATTATTACCAGTGAGTTTTGTACCTTCAGATCACTTCTTATTGCTTAACATCCTTTTCTTTCAGATTGAAGGACTCCCGTTAGCATTTCTTGTAGGACAAGTTCGGTGTTGATGAAATCCCTCAGTTTTTCTTTCTCTGGGAAAGTCTCTATTTATTCTTCATGGTTGAAGGATATTTTTTACCGGATATACTATTCTAGGATAAACGTGTTTTCTTCATCACTTTAAATATGTCATGCCACTCTGTCACACCATATGTACTGCCATGTCAAACCTGTAAGGTTTCCACTGAGAAGTCTGCTGCCAGACATATTGGAGCTCCTTTGTATGTTATTTGGTTCTTTTCTTTGGCTGCTTTTAAGGTTCTTCCTTTCCTTCACCTTTGCGAGTTTGATTATTAAATGCTTTGAAGTAATGTTCTTTGGGTTAAATCTGCTTGGTGTTCTATAATCTTCTTGTGCTTAAATACCTATATCTTTCTCTAGGTTTGGAATGTTCTCTGTTATTATCCCTTTTAATACATTTTCTACCCCAATCTCTCTCTACCTTTTCTTTAAAGCCAGTAACTCTTAGATTTGCCCTTTTGAGGCTATTTTCTAGATCCTGTAGGCATGCCTTATTCTTTTTTATTCTTTTTCATTTTGTCTCCTGTGACTGTGTATTTTCAGGTAGCCTATCTTCAGGCTCACTCATTCTTTCTTCTGCTTGATCAGTTCTGTTGTTGAGATACTCTGATTCCTTCTTCAGTATGCCAGCTGAATTTTTTAGCTTCAGAATTTCTGCTTGGTTTTTAAAAATTATTTGAATCTCTGTTAAATTTATCTGATATGATTCTAAATTCCTTCTCTGTGTTATCTTGAATTTTGTTGTACTTCCTCAAAAGAGCTATTTTGAATTTTCTGTCTGAATGTTCATGTAATTCTGTCACTCCAGAATTGGTCACTGGTGCCTTATTTATGTTGTTTAGTGAGGTCATGTTTTCCTTGATGGTCTTGATGCTTGTGGATATTCAGCAATGTCTGGGCATTGAAGAGTTAGGTGTAGTCTTTGCAGTCTGGGCTTGTTTGTACCTATCCTTCTTGGGAAGGATTTCCAGGTATTCAGAGGGAATTGAGTGTTGTGATATAAGTCTCTGTTCACTGCAAGCATATCTGCATTAGGGGCCACCCTAAGCCCAGTAGTGCTGTGACTCTTGCAGACTCGTAGATGTACTGCCTTGGTGGTCTTGGGTAAGATCTGAGAGAATTCCCTGGATTACCAGACAGAGACTCTTGTTCACTTTTCTTACTTATCCCAAATAAATGGAGTCTCTCCATGATGAGCTTCCTGGATCTGGGGGAGGAGTGACACAAGCACTCCCGTAACCACCACCACTGGGACTGTGCTGGGTCATACCTGTGGCCAGCATAGCACTAGGTCTCGCCCAAGGCCTGCAGCAGCCACTCTGGCTACTGCCAGTGTTCACTCAAGGCTCAAGGGCTCTTCAGTCAGCAGGTGGCAAATCCAGCTAGCCTTCTGTCCTTCCCTTCAGGACTATAGGCTCCCCTCAGCCCAGGGCAGGTCCAAAAATGCTATCTGGGAGCCAGGGCCTGGAGCTGGGAACCTTAGGCAGCTCCTTAGTGCTCTATTTTACTGTGGCTGAGCTAGCACCTAGGCCACAAGATAAAGTCCTTTCCACTCTTACCTCTCCTTTCCTCAAGAAGAAGGAGTTTCTCCCCATGGCCACCACCACCCCAGGCCTATGGCAAGTACTGCTTGGTTTACCCAAGTCCCAAGGGCTCTTCAGTCAGCTTGCAGTGAATGCTGCCAGGCCTGGGTCTCTCTTTAGGGCAGTGTGCTCCCCTCTGGCCCAGGGTTAGTTGAGGAATACCATCTAGGAGCAAAGTCCTGGAATCAGAGACCCCAGGAGCGCACTTGGTGCTTTACCCTACTGCGGCCAAGCTAGCTGCAAGGCTTACTCTTCCCTCTCCTTTCGTTAAACCGAAGGAGTATCTCTCCGTAGCCACTACAGCTGGGAATGTGCTGGGTCACACCTGAAGCTAGCACAGCACTCAGTCTCATCCAAGTCCTGTGACAAGTACTGCCTTGCTGCCGCTGGTGTTTATTCAAGGCCCAAGTGCTCTTTAGTCAGCAAGAGATGAATCCTGCCATAACTGTGTCCTTCTCTTTAAGGCAGAGGGTCCCCTTCTGGCCCACAGTGTCTAGAAATGTTGTTCAGGAACTAGGACTGGTTTGGGGGCTTCAGTACTCTTCCTGGTACCCTGTTCTACTGTGGCCAAGATGGTATACAAGTTGCAAGACAGAGTCTTCTTTACTCTTCCCTCTCTCTCCTCAAGTGGAAGGAAGGAATCTCTTTTGGAGCTGCAAACTGTTCTGCCCAGGGTTAAGGGAGGTTTGACATAAGCACTCCCTTGACCACCCCAGCTGGGGTCTCACTAGGTCACGTTCCCCCCAGGTCCACTGGCTCTGAGTCCAGCACAGTACCAGGACTTCCCCAGGAAATGCAGTCCTTGTTGCTTAGACTGCCTTTCAAGTTTATTTAGGGTCCTAGAGCACTTTAGCCCATGGTCATGTGGCTTGCTGGAACTCAGGTTCTGACTATTGGGATGGATGATCCCCCTCTGGCTAGGGCTGGTCTAAATGCTCCCTCTTTGAGCACCAGCTAAATTCTTTCTTGTGTTGCTTTCCACTGTGACAGGCAGCACTGAGTTCCAATGCAAAGTCTCACAATCACTGTGCTCTTCCTCCCCCAGGCATACAGATTCTCTCTCCTCACCACGCGGCTGCTGCTGGAGGATGGAGGAGGGGTGGTGTCAGCAATTCAAGACTGTCTTTCCTACCCTCTTCAGTGCCCTTCCTTGATAAGCTGTTTAAACCAGGTACTGTGATCACTCACCTGATTTTTGGTTCTTACAAAGGGGCTTTCTTGTGTGGATAGTTTTTCAGTTTGCTCTTCCTGGAGGGGAGATGTTCATGGAAGGTGTCTGGCTCCACCTCCCTCCAATCTATCCCTCATTTTTCTTTGTTTTAACTAGCTCAAATGAACTTCTACTTTCAATCTAGATAATTGTAACTATTGTAGACACAAAATCCCATGTTTCTACTATCTTATGATATCAATTTAAACATATTTATATAATGAATCCACTGACTTTAGTACTTAAACCTCACCACTGTCTGCTTTATTGTCCTCTGCCACCACACACACCATCACCAAACAGTTCATATATATAGTAAGGTTAAAGAGGCTTTATAGCAAACCCAAATGAGTAAACACTTTCCCATTCACTACAGAGGAATTTGATAATCATTTTATATATGGAGTGGCTTAAATGCCCAGACATCTGCTTATAAATTTCGTTCCCTTTTTCCCTCTTCCCCTTTTTTGTTCTTTAGATTAGCTAGTTTAGTTATTCTCACAACTTAGTGTGCCCAAGAATTATTGCATAAAATAGTATTTATAAAGTCATGCTTAACAAACCTTTTGGACAATTTAAAGAATTTTCAAGGGTAATTTTGACTATGTAATTTTTGCTTTGTTCACTGACTTTAATTCCTCTTATTCACATCCCTTACCATCCTAACTCCTCATCAAACATGGAACTTTACACTATGCTTACAATGAGAACACAGTAAACAAACAGCATTAAAATTATATCAAATGTTATTTTTACCTTAGCAGTTTGCAAGGCACTTTGGATTTTGTAATACCTTAGTTATTATTATTATGAATGTCAATAATATCACATGGTAGATGAACAAACACGCAAGTTAATAGAAATTCCACATGAGCCCAACCTTATTTTCTAACTTTATTTCCAGTTACTTTCCATCATACATCTTTAGTTCTAACCAGATTGAAATTCTCAGTGTTTTTTAATCCCAATGCTTTCCCCAATCCTATCCTGTGCCTGCCACCTGGGATATTCTCTACCAATTGCTCTTCCCTCTAAGTATGTCCAAATCATACTCATCTTTCTATGTTCATACCAACTATGGCCTCTCCTAATATTTCTAGAATTTCTAGATTTAATGCCTCCTTCCTCCAAATGACTACCTTATAATGTGGACTTTCTGGTATTTTTGACCCATCAGTCTACATTTTAGTACAGTAATTTGGTATGTGTCCTGTTGTCCCTCCAGTGCTTTAAACCTTTCAGCTCTCTGTTTAAAGTAATAACAGTAACAATATATTGGGTGATGATAGCTTATGGATAAGTCAAATGAATGGCATAAATGCTTTAAGGGATGGGAGGGAGGAATTGGGAATAAGGTAACTGCACTACCTCTAGAGTGGCATTTTGTTACTTGAAAGTGGACTTAGATCAGTTGTGAATGTATATTGAAAACTCTAGGGCAACTACCTAAAAAATTCAAAAAGAAGTGTAATTGATATGCAAAAGAAGATAGAAAAGAAGGGGGAGCAAAAATAAACAAAGAACAAGTGCAATGAGTAGAAAACATTAGGAACATGTAGATGTTAAACCAAATACATCAATAGCCACTTTAAGTGTGAATTGTCCAAATATATCAATTTTTTGTGAGTGTGATTGTCAGACAATAAAAAACAAGACCCATATGTTGTCTACAAGAAACTCACTCTACAAAGACACGAGTAGGTTAAAAGTAATGGAATGGTGGAAGAGATACCATGCTGTATTCATTAGCTAGGGCTTCCATAACAAAGTTCTAGAAATTGGTGGCTTAAACAAGGGAAATTTATGTTCTCACAATCTGGAGGTTAGAAGTCTGAGATCAAGGAGTTGGCAGAATTATTTTTTTCCGAGGATCATGAGGGAAGGATCTGTTCTTAGCCTCTCTCCTTGGCTTGTAGATGGCCATCTTCTCCCTCTTGAGAAGAATATAGAGTTCCCTCTGTTCGTATCTGTGTCCAAATTTCCTCTTCATATAAGGACACTAACCATAGTGGATTAGGGCCCATTCTTATGACCTTATTTTAATTTTATACCTCTTTAAAGACCCTGTATCCAAATATACAAGTCACATTCTGAGGTATTGGGAGTTAGAACTTCAACAATAAAAATCTGGGGGAGGGGACACAATTCAACCCATAATATATGCTAACACTATTCAAAAGAAAGCTGGAGTAGCTCTATTAATTGCAGTCAATGCAGACTTCAGAACAAGGAAAATTATCAGGGATGAAGAAGAGCACTTACCTAATGATAAATGGTTCAATTCTCCAAGAGGACAAAACAATCCTTAATGTGTACACACCTAACAACAGAGCATCAAAATATATGAGGCAAAAACCAATACAAATGCACGGAGTAATAGACAAGGTGCCTTACAAATAGAATTTGGGAGCAACGGTGCAAAAATTAATTTCCTTAAACATGTTATTTCTTCCAGGGGCAACAGGATTGTTAAAGAACCAAGGAAGTATAACAATAGGGCAAAATTATTCCTGAGATAACAAATATTTCAAGATTCCTGTCGGAGAAGCTGTTGGAGCTCTCTTTTACAGGATTATAGAATCTATCCTCAGTCCTTTGACAACTGACACTCTCACCAGTAAACCTTTTAATCCCCCAAGTAGTGGAATACATTTAAGGAACTGGAAATCGTCAAAATTCACAAAGAGCACCACCCTCTCTCCTCTTATCCCAGGAAGCCCCAAATTCTATTGTCATATCCCTTAAGGGATTTTTTCCCCTTTTGT
Source organism: Homo sapiens (assembly GCF_000001405.40). Classification (NCBI taxonomy): domain Eukaryota; kingdom Metazoa; phylum Chordata; class Mammalia; order Primates; family Hominidae; genus Homo; species Homo sapiens. Next base: position 99,892,075 of record NC_000009.12, on the reverse strand, counting down.
AGGCTTCAGTTGTTTTTAGGAGCTTTTTGAGTAATATTTATACTTCTAGCCAAAGATACATTAACTTTAATATTTCCTTGGCAGATTAGTACTAAAGAGAGAAATGTTGCTTGTTTCACAGAAATAAATTGATAGGTTCAGCAACTGTCATTTTGCTTATATAAGTGAACACTTCAGAAGAGAAGTGTTTTGAACCTGAGCAAATGGTTTTAAATATGGAAAAAAATTTCCCGAATCCCAGTACCTAAACATTAAAGGACATAATTGATATCTTTAAATCTTTCCAACATCTGGTAAGTGCTTTCTCATTCACTCATTCAGTCTGCACCACCAGCATGTCAGCCACTGTGCTGAGTCCTGGTGATTGAAAGTTTAAAAAGATCCTGTTTCTGTCTTCCAGGGGTTGACAGTCTGGGAGGGAACACAGACATGTTACTAAATACAGTATAATTAATAACTGTTAGATTAGCTGTCCCTATAAAAATGCTATAGAAAGACACACAGAGCTGGCAACTTAAGAGTTTAGTCAGTACATGGGCATTATCACAGAAGGAAGAAATAGCATTCTCAACGGAGAGAACATATGTAAAAAGCACAGGAAAAAAATGCAACAGTGGTGTGTCCAGCTCCCTCAGAGTAGTGGGAGTAACAAGAGGAGACTCTTAAACTCAACTTGATTTAGGATGAATAATTTAAGTGGCTTGTCTGTGCAGCTTTCTGCTTCATAGTTAACACCTACAAGTGCTAAAGCATAAAATCAGAGAAGGCTGCCCAAAAACAGGATGAGTAACTACCTCAGAGGTATTTATCAAAGTTCATATTGATCATGTTTCTATTTGTTTCAGATCTTATCATGGCACAATTTGATTTTTATCTTTATTGTGTTCTCTCCATCTAAGACACATACTGTATAGACTCACAAACTCATAACACCTACAGATTACTTGTGGGGGCTTCTGAGGCCTTCCACCAATTTTTTTTTTAATTTCAAAAACATTTTAAGAGACAGGGTCTTGCTATATTGCCCAGGCTCGAGTGCAGTGGCTATTCACAGGTGCAATCGTAGTACAAATGTGTCTGGCTTCACATTTAAGTTTAAATCTCCAGCCTCGCCAGGTGCAGTGGCTCACGTCTGTAACCCAAGCACTTTGGAAAGCTGAGGCAGGAGGATCGCTTGAGTCCAGGAGTTTGAGACCAGCCTGGGCAACATGAGACCCCATCTCTACAGAAAATTTTAAAAGTAATAATTAAAAAATAAAAACCTCCTGCCTCATAGGCTACTATTTTCTGAACCAGGTTCCTATAGTTCCTCAATATCCCATCCACTTTCTTGCCTCTATGCCTTTGCTCAAGCTATACCGCTTTGGAATGCCTTCTTCCTCTTTTCCATTGATCAGAACTTTATCCCTCCTTGAAGACCTACCTCAAATGTATTTTCTTCTCCAAAATCTTCCCTCATTTCCCCAGCCTGTGCTCCCATAATACCTTGATTTAATTTTGCTCTGTGTTATAGTAATTCACATACCCGTCTTTCCAGATAGAGCAGAAACTTTTTGAGGGCAGGGACTTTGTCATAATTATTTTGTGTTCCCAGCACCTGGTACATGACTGGGAATGTGGCACTTGATAAATATTTGTTTTAAATGACCTGTTCGTCTCATTGCCTTTGTGTTCTCATTAGTGTCCTCTCCAGTTTCATAACTGAGTTTCTCCAGCTGAGCAAACCTTCTGAAGCTCAATTGATGACTGAGGCTGAGATTAGAGGAAGAATAAAAAACTACCTGAGGCACAGGGTCACCACCCTGACAGCACAGCGAATCACTTAGAAACCTTTTAAAAGATGTAGTTGCTCCCAGCACTTTGGGAGGCCGAGGCGGGTGGATCACGAGGTCAGAAATTCGAGAACAGCCTGGCCAACATAGTGAAATCCCATCTCTACTAAAAATACAAAAAATTAGCTGGGCGTGCTGGGGGGCACCTGTAATCCCAGCTACTCCAGAGGCTTGGGCAGGAGAATCACTTGAACCTGGGAGGTGGAGGTTACAGTGAGCCAAGATCGCGCCATTGCACTCCAGCCCAGCGACAGTGTGAGACTCCGTCTCAAAAAGAAAAAAAAAAAAAGATGTAGTTGTCTGGGCCCCACCTTCAGAGATCTTGACTTACTTGTCCTGGAGTAGAAACCAGGTGTCAATATATTTTCTGTAAACAATTCTAAAGTATAGTCAGTTTTGGGAACTACAGATCTGAAGGGTGGATGGGAAATTATTGCTGGGCCCCATATATAAGTTAGAATAATTTCTAATTTGCTTTTCTCAAAAGGTAATGCTTTTCACAGAAAAACATAGCTAAAAGAATGGAGACCACACAGTCTGGATGAAGTCGACCTTTTTTCCAGAGAAATCTTTGCCATCAGGAGCCTGAGTTACGCTATGGGGGGAATCACACAATTGGCATGATACTCACCTTTGAGTTCCTGCTTAGCATGTCTAGAGAATCCCAGTGCTCCCCGTCATATATATCTTTAAAATCTTATTCAAGGAAAAGCCATAAAGTGAACTGAAATCAAAATGCCAAGCACCAAATCATGAAATGAGTAATGAAAGCTTGAAAGTTTCCAGTTCCCTTGAGGGTCTCGACATGGATGTCCCCTGTGACATGCAGTCAGTGCAATGGGAGAACAGGGCCAGATACCATGAGGAGGACCCCATGTTACATAACTCCAAGGCCATGTGCACAGTATGGGCCATGTGAAGAGTGCCCCCTGGAGTTGTGTAGTGCTGCATCTTAGCACAGGGACTTTCCAGTCCTCACACCAAAAAGATTTCTGGTGGTGGCCTCCAGTTTGGTTCTGTTCTCCAGCCTTCTTCTGGCTTGGAGCTGTCACTCAGAACCAAGGTGAAGGATGAAGAGTCTCCTCATCAAAATCTCTCTGCTGGGGTCTTTTCCTACCTGAGGATGTCTTCACCAGAAATTCCCCTAACTGGCAGCTCTTGTCAACACATTCTGGATCCCCCTGATGGACTCCAGCTAGACTTGATTCTTAAATCAGTCACTGTAGCAGAGTTTCAGAAAGGATTTAAGTTCCTTTTCGTCACCACTACTCCTGGTTCTCTTTCACCATTGATCAAAGTGTCCATAGAGCAGGAGAGTACATACTTTATTTTCAGATTAGGGCCGTTTCAGGGTGTGTGTGTGTGTGTGTGCGTGTGCATGTGTGTGTGCATGTGCGTGTGTGAAATTTAACAGTCTAAGGGCAAAGAAGTAAAATAAAGCAGTATTATTTATTTAAAAATTACCCCAGAACCTTCCAGAGAGTAGGAACCTTAAAAATGTTAGTTTCTATTGTTCTTGGCAGATGATAAAATGAATGCAGTGATGGTGGTGAAATCTACTGAGTAGCTTTCACTTTTTATATTTTTAGAGAGAGCGGAGAAAGCAGCAGGGTCCTCACAGTAAGGGGAGGATTAATTTTTTCCAAATGAAGTTGTAAAAATCAAAAAAATAGGAATTTTGGTTGAGAAACCATTTTTTATAAACTGTAAAGGACTATGTAAAATGAATGGAGTTATTTTGATAAGAGATGCCAAACTGAATGCCACAAGGGTTTGAAGAAGAGAAAGAGACCACAACCTGTTGTGGAAATCAGGAGGAAATGTTATCTCCCATTTAATAAGGATGTGATCTTGTACAAGATGTGATTTCTGCGTTGTGGAGCTGGGACCATGATCCCTGCCCTGACTACAAAGCAAGGCTGATTATGAGAATAGAATTGGATTTTTTGTGTCTGCACTTTGTGTCTGCACAATACAAATGCAAAGTGATGTTATTGTAGCTGTTATTGGTGATGAAGATATTATTATTGATTTTGAAGAAATTGGCCAGCATTTAACAGAGCTGGCAGGGGAAGGCCTTACAGGTAGAGAAAAGAGGACTGGAGAGGTTTCTGCCAATTTTCTTGGGTGATTGAGAGTCCCTGTATAAAAGAGTTGTTTCTGAGCATCTGTTGACACCTACATTGTCACTGGACCTGTGGCAATGCTAGTAATACGATATTGAATAAGAAATGCTATCTGCCTTCAGGGAGCTCACCTTGACTTGGTTTTAAGGATGGCTTCAAATATCAGATCAAGAAATGTATAGTTAATGTATAGGCAGTGGAGAGCCACTGAAGGTTTTAGAGCAGAGGAATGACATATTTTAGGCCCTCCTAACAAAATACAGTACTTAATTCAGCTTTCAAGCAGCTTACCACCAGGAAGTATTTTTGGCTAGCAGGTGATTGAGCTCTGCAAGCCCCAGGCTTCAAGAACCTGGAGTGTTGTACCCCTCTAAATAGCACTTTTTAAAAAACTTGTGAATAATGGAACTGATTGTTTCTTTCTTTGCAATGACTGTTAGAAAGCCTAAGCTAAATTTAACCAAGTACATAGGACTTCAAAGCATGAATATGAATCCCTGCTTCAGCTCTGGCTAATTTTTCCCACATTCACTTTATTTTTAATCCTTCCCTTGCTTTTATAAAATGTTGTTGAATTATATGTAGTTTTGTAAATCAGGAAAAAGATTAATTATAAATAGATAAATATCATTTCTTATTTTTTCTTATTTAATTAACTTTTGGTGAAGATTATTTGAAATGTCCACAGGAGACATTTGCATGGATGAGGTATATTGGAAAAGTAATGTTACAGATGTTACTTTCTAACATTACTGCTCATCTCCTAACTTAAAATTCTGTTAAAGTCATGTATAATATAACACTTGAATATGATGTGAACCTATCAGCAACAATATTTTTGCATTTAAAGTTTGAATTCTGCTTTCAAAAGAATTTAACAAAAGATACCAACTTAAAAC